>NC_000006.12:94718912-94869851 GCF_000001405.40 Homo sapiens
TATTGCAGTATTCTTTACAATAGCCAATATATTGATTCAATGTATGTTTTCAGTACCTCAGGAATAAAGAATAAAATGTGGCATATATACACAATGGAATACTATTCGGTCTTAAAAAGGAAGGAAATCCTGTCATTTGCCACAACATGGATGAATCTAGAATGCATTATATTAAGTGAAATAATCTAGACACAAGAAGATAAATACTGCATGATCTCACTTATATGTGGAATATTTAGAAAATTGATCTCATAGAAAGAAGCAAAGAGTGAAATGACAGTTACCAGAGGTAGGTTTGTGGATGGGGAAATTGGGAAGATGTTGACCAAATGAAACAAAATTTCAGTTAGAATGAATAGGTAAAGAGTTATATATCATGGTGACAATAGTTAATAATAATATATTGTTTACTTGAAAACTTACAAGACTAGATTCTACATATATTTACCAGACAAACACAAATAAGTATGTGAAGTAATACTTATGTTAATTGGCATCATTTAAATATTCTGGAGTATATACATATATTAAAACATCATGTACTTCAGAAATATGTACCATTTTTAGTTGTCAATTAATAAATACATACATAAAATGTTGAGGAGGAAGATGAACTGGTAGCATCGCTAATGAGAGAGTATTAAGGGAACCATTCAAGAGAGCGATATGGTACTACTTAGACAAATTGAAAATACAAATACTTATAACCTAGAAATAATACTTCTAGTAATATTTTCCAAATACATCTTCAGTGAGTCATAAGGAAATATGTATATGCATGTTTATTTCAGTGTTATTTGTGATTGCAAGAGGATAAATGTAACTTTCTGTCCATTTCAAAGTCAATATAGTGGGCAAGTAATCTGTAAAAAACACTTAGGAATGTAACAATCACAATTCTCATCATTTAATCAAATGCTAAAGTGAAAAAGAAAGTGAAAAGCAAAGAGAGAAAACATGGGTGAAAAAGGAAATATTACCCATACATGGAAAAACACCAGTCAATGGAAACAGACCTAAAGATAAGAGAGACTTTAGAATACTGACTTTAAATGTTGAAAGATCTGAAGAAAACATGAAAAAATGTAAAGAAAACTAAAAGATATTGAGAAAAAGAGAACAAATTAGACATGGAAAACATACACAAAGAAGAGAGCAATAGACACTAGGGCCTATTTGAGTGTGGAGTGTGGGAGAGGCGTGAGGATCTAAAACCTACCTATTGAGCACCATGCTTATTACCTGGGTGAGAAAATAGTCTGTACCAACCGCTGGCAACACACAATTTACCTATATAACAAACCTGCACATGTACCCTTGAAACTAAAAGTTAAAAAATAAAATAAAATAAACTACTAAATGGCTTTAACAGCAACTTACACACTTACACATTTTTACAGTAAAAAAGAATTTAACATCAACTTAACACACACATTCTTACAGTAAAAACAATTGTGAACTTGAAGATAGTGATAAACACTAAACTGAAATAATTTTTTTCTAAAAATAACAGAGTAAGCGAGTTTTGATGAACTGTGGATCAATGGTCTAAGATGTGCATAATTGTATTCCCAGGAGGAGAATCAGGAATGTTTGAATGTTTGAAAAATTTTCAAATTGATATAAACTGTAAACGCAAGATCCAAATGGCTAAATGAGATACATGAAATAAAGAGAAAGAAAACCGTACCAAATTACATCAAATCAAATTGTTAAAACCCTAGGGAGGAGAAAATACTAAAAACATGCAGAAAAAAAAAAAACAAAAAATTTAAAAATAATGAAATGAGTTCTGATTTCTTGTTTTAAAAAACGAAGCCAAAATTATATCGACATCTTTAAATGCAAAAACACATACAACTGTCAAATGAAATTTCGTATTGAATAAAAATCACCCTCAAAAGTTAATGCCAAATAGAGCCCTTTTCAGAAAAATACAGCACGATCTACTCATAGCCATGAATCTGCATTTAAGAAATAGTAAAATAAATTATTGGGACCAAAAGAACGTGACAGTAGAAGAACCTAGAACTACACAAAGTAATAGAAACTGCCCGAATGAAGGAACCAAGGGCAACTAGAAGAGAATGCATGGGACAACTTAAAAAAAAATAACAAGATAGTATATTTAAACTTAGTCATATTGATAATTACATTCTATGTAAGTGGTCTAAAACATTTCAATAAAAAAGCAATACACCCTCCCTGAGATGACTCGAGTAGATTAAAAAAAAAGTAAAATATAACTGTAGGCATTTCCAGTGGATGCACATGAACTATAAAGAAACAGACAGCCAAAACATTAAAAATACATAGTGCAAGTATACTCATATATGAATCATAATTATATAAATATCTTAAGAAAGTTGGAATAGCTATATTTTTATGAGAATAAAGACTGGTGTGAAGAATATTATAAGAGATAAAGAGGGCATATCAAAATAAATATTTTAATTGAAAAAACAAAACAATCCCAAATATTTATATATATTTAACATCAATGCTCGAAATATATGAAACAAAACTGACAGAACTATGAACAGAAATAGACAAATGTATTATTATATCTAGAAATTTCAGTATTTCTCTTTCATAAGTAATTGACAACAGTATCAACCAAATTAATGAATTTACATTTTAAAAACACTCTGGCTGCACCTGCCAGTGCCCCAACTCCATGCTAATATCACCACCAGTGCAACTACCTGCACAGTTACCAGTGGGTATCACATGCCACCCCAACCATGCTGCCTCACCCCAGCACCTGCTAGCATCCTGCCACAGCTAATGAGCCTGCACTCGTTATGCTGCCACTGCTGCTGCTGTGGGCAATGACACCCATATGTTCAAAATAAAGTGATGGAGAAAAATGTGCAAAGCAAATGGAAAGCAGAAAAAAGCAGGAGTTGCAAAGACAATTGCAGACAAAACGTACTTTATAACAACAAAGATAAAAAAATACGTAGAAGGGCATGACATATTGGTAAAGGATTAAATTCAAAAACAAGTCCTAACTATCCTAAGCATACATGTACCCAACACAGGAGCATCCAATTTCATAAGGCAAATTCTTAGATACCTTCAAAGAGACTTAGCCTTCCACTCAATGACAGTGACAGACTTCAACATACTACTGATAATATTAGACAGATTATTGAGGTAGAAAATTAATAAAGATATTCAGGACCTGAACTCAGCACTGGATAAAATGGATCTGATAGACATCTATAGAATCCTCCACTCAAAACCAATGAAATATCTTTCTTCTCATCATCATATGGCACATACTCCAAAATCAATCACATAATTCGACATAAAACACTCCTCAGCAAATGTAAAAGAAATGAAATCATAACAATTAAGACAGAAATCAAGAAGTTCTTTGAAACTAATGGGAACAAAGATACAACATGCCAGAATCTCTGGGACACAGCTAAGGCAGTGTTAAGAGGGAAATTTATAGCACTAAATGCCAATATCAAAAAGTTAGAAAGTTCTCAATTCAATAACCTAATACCACAACTAAAAAACCTAGAGGACGAAGAGCATACCAATCCTAAAATTAGCAGAAGACAAGAAATAACCAAAATCAGAGCTGAACTGAAAGAGACTGAGACACAAGAAATCATTCAAAACTTCAATGAATTCAGGAGTTGATTTTTTGAGAATAAATAAATAAATAAAATAAAACAGACCACTAGCTAGACTAATAAAGAAAAGACAGAAAATCAAAATACATAAACACAATTAGACATAACAATGAGGACATTAAACTGACCCCTCAGAAATACAACATGCCATTGTAGAATATTATGAACACCTCTATGCACAACACAAGGATGCCCTTTCTCACCAGTCCTATCCAATACAGTAATGGAAGCTCTGGACAGCAATCAGGCAAGAGGAAGAAAAAGAAATGGCATCCAAATATAAAGAGAGAAAGTCAAATTTTCCCTGTTTTGAGACAACATGATTCTATATATAGAAAACCCCCATAGTCTTGGCCCAAAAGCTCCTTAAGCTGCTAAACAACTTCAGCAAAGTCTCAGGATACAAAATCAATGTACAAATATTACTGATATTCCTGTATACCAACAACAGTCAAGCTGAAAGCCAAATCAGGAATACAATCCCATTCACAAATTGCCACAAAAAGAATAGAGTACCAAGAAATACACCTAACCATGGAGGCTAAAGATCTCTACAAGAACTAAAATCCACTGCTTGAAGAAATCAGAGAAGAAAAAAATAAATGAGAAAACATTTCATGGTCATGGATAGGAAGAATCAATATTGTGAAAATGACTACACTTCCCAAAGTGATTTATAGATTCAATGCTATTTCTATTAAACAACGAATGACGTTCTTCACAGAACTAGAAAAACCTATTTTAAAATTTATATGGAAACAAAAAAGAGCCCAAATAGCCAAGCAATCCTGAAGAAAAGTAACAAAGCTGGAGGCATCACATTACCTGACTTTAAACTAAACTACAGGGCTACAGTGACTAAAACAACATGGTACTGGTACAAAGACAGACACATAGCCTAATGGAACAGAATAGAGCCCAGAAATGAGGCCACACACCTACAACTGTCTGAACTTTGACAAAGCTGATAAAAACAAGCAAAAGAGAAAAAACTTTCTATTCAATAAATGGTGCTGGGAGAACTGGCTAACCCTCTATAGAAGACTGTAACTGGACTCTTTCCTTATAAAATATAAAAATCAACTGAAGATGAATTAAAAACTTAAATGTAAAATCCAAACTATAAAAACCCTGGAAGAAAACCTAGGCGATACCATTCTGGACATAGAAACAGGCAAAGATTGAATGATGAAGATGCCAAAAGCAATGGCAACAAAAGCAAAAATTGACAAATGGGATCTAGTTAAACTAAAGAGCTTCTGTATAGCAAACGAAATTATCAATAGAGTAAACAGACAACCTAGAAAATGAGAGGAAAGTTTTGCAAATTATGCATCTGAAAAAGGTCTAATATCCAGCATCTATAAGGAACTTAAACAAATTTAGAAGAAAAACAAACAACTCCCTTAAATAGTGGGCAAAGCATATGAACAGATACTTTTCAAAAGAAGACATACAAGTGGCCAACATACATATGAAAGAAAAAGCTCAACATCACCAGTCATTAGAGAAATGCAAATCAAAACCACAATGAGATAATATTTCACACATCAGAATGGCTATTATTAAGATGTCAAAAAATAATAGGTGCTGTTGAGGTTGTGGAGAAAAAGGAACACTTATACACTGTTGGTGGGACTGTAAATTGGTTCACTATTTTGTTGAAAACCATGTGAAAATTCCTCAAAGACCTAAAAATAGAACTGCCATTCAACTTAGCAATCCCATTATTGAATATATGCCCAAAGAAATGTAAATCATTCTATCATAAAGAAACATGCATGTGTATGTTCATGGCAGCAGTATTTTCTATAGCAAAGACATGGAATCAACCTAAATGTCCATCAGTGGTAGACTGGATAAAGAAATTGTAGTACATATGCACCATGGACTACTATGCAGCCATATAAAATGAGATTATGTCCTTTTCAGGAACATGAGGAGAGCTGGAGGCTATAATCGTTAGCAAAATAACACAGGAACGTAAAACCAATACTGCATGTTCTCAATTATAAGTGGGAACTAAATGATGAGAACACACAGACATTTAGAAGGGAACAACAGACACTGGGGCCTATTGGAAGGTGAAGGGTGGGAGGAGGGAGAGGATCAGGAAAAATAACTAATGGTTACTAGGTTTGATACCTGGGTGACAAAATAACCTGTACAACAATCCCCTGTGACATGAGTTTACCTATGTAAAAAACCTGCACATGTACACCTGATCTGAAAATAGAAGTAAAAAAAAATGAAATTCACCTTTAAAAATTTTTAAAAAGTCAAAACACTCTGCAAAATAATGATAGAATAGAAATTTTTTGCCAAGTATAAATTGTACCTGCCCTAAGATAGTGACTATGCTGGTGAAATCAAGACTCACTAAGGGGATTAATATGCAAAGAGCATGTTGTTGTTTTTTTTCCACAGCAAAGTTATATTAGAAATCAATAATATAAAATATTTTAGAAAATCCTTGAAGCATTTGAAATAAAAAAGTAACATGGTTAGAGAAGAAAAACTCTTTAAGGAAATTTTAGTGAATCAAATTTTGAAATACATATAATATATAAAATACATATTATATTCAATTTATGCTTATTTTTAGAAAAACAAACTTAATATCTAATGATTAACCAATAAAATGCACTAAATTAATAGAATAATCAAAAAACATTATTTTATCTCAATTCATGCAAAAGTATCATTTAACAAAATTTAATCTCTGTCTCAATTAATTTTGTGTAGAACACTTGAGACTGAGTAATTTGCAAAGAAAATAGGTTTATTTGGTTTATAATTCTGGTGACTGACAAGTCCAAGATTGGGTGGCTGCATCTGGTGAGGGCCTCGTGTTGCTTTAATTCATCACAGAAAGAGGAAGGGGAGAGGATGTGTACAAAGAGATCACATGGTGAGAGAGAAAGAAAGAGATAGAAACCAAGGAAGCCAGACTCTTTTTAACAACCCACTCTTGTGGTAATTAATCCGATTCCAGGATGGCAAGAACTCATTAACTCCTGAGTGAACACATTAATCTATTCATGAAGGATTTTCCCCCATGGCCCAAATACCTCCCACTAGGCCCTACATTTCCACACAGCCAACATGGGGATAAAACTTCAATTTAAGTTTTGGGAGAGGCAAACTACATCCAAACTGTAACAATTCCCATCACAATAAAATCTCTTAGTGAACCAGAAGAAAAAGCATCAATCTTCTCAATATTGAAAGGCAGAAAACTTTTTACCTAACATCAAACGAAAATATCCATTCTCAGCACTCTGAATCAACATTTACTATGTGGTCTATTCAGTGAACATGCCACAAAAATTAAATGAAAGCTTCAGTCTGGATAAGAAAAAACAAAGCTTTTTTTATTCACATAAAGTATGATAGTCAGGTAAAATTGAAGGAATCTAGCTGAAACTACTATAACTAATGAATAAATATACCAAGATCACAAGAAATTGTTTACACTTGAAAAACTAATTATATTTCTATATACTAGAAATAATTGATAAATTAAAAGAATACCATTTATTATAGCATATATTTAAATGTAAAAACTGAAATTATGAATTATTTAGAATATGAAAGAGAGATTTATGAACTTGGATAAGATAAATATCTATTTGTTAAGCCACAAAACATCCCACTAATTATATTTTAAAAATAAATTGGATTTCAAAAAAAATTAAAGCAAAGAAAATTTGGTCCTTGCAGGACATTGTTAAGAAGATACAAATGGATATCACAGACAGGGAAAAATGTGCACAGTGTAAAGGACTATAAATCTAGAATGTATAAAGACAAATATTTGTAATCTGGAAGTGACTTAGGTTATCTGGGGCTGCCATAACAAAATGCCAAAGATTAGGAGGCTTAATTAAACAACAGGCATTTTTCACAGTCCTGGAGGCTGGAAATCTGACATTAGGGTGTCAGCAGATTGGCCCTTGATGAGGACCCTCTTCCTGGCCTTGTTTGCTGACATGATCTTCTTCCCTGTGCATGAGCAGAGCAAGAGAGCTTTGGTCTCTCTTCTTTTCTTATAAGGATTGTCTTAGTCTGTTCTCATGCTGCTTTAAGGACATACCTAAGACTGGGTAATTTATAAAGGAAAAAAGGATTAATTGACTCACATTTCCATAGAGCTGGGAAGGCCTCATGAGATTACAATTATGGTGGAGGTGAACAAGTCCTTCTTCAAATGGTGGCAGGAAGAAGTACAGAGCAAAATGGGGAAAAGTCTCTTATGAAACCATGAGTACTCACTTACTATGATGAGAATAGCAGCATGGGGATAACCGCCCCCATGATTCAATTATCTCCCACAAGATCCCTCCCACAACATGTGGGAATTATGGGAACTATAGTTCAAGATGAGATTTGGGTGGGGGCACAGCCAAATCATACCTTTCTGCTCCTGGCCCCTCCTAAATCACATGTCCTCACATTTCAAAACACAATCATGCCTTCCCAACAGTTTCCCAAAGTCTTAACTCATTTCAGGATTAACTCAAAAGTCCAAGTCCATAGTGTCATCTGAGACAAGGCAAGTTCCTTCTGCCTATGAGCCTGTAAAATCAAAAGCAAGCTCGTTACTTCCAAGTTATAATGGGGGTACAGTCAATGGGTAAATACACCAATTCCAAGTGGAAGAAATTGGCCAAAGCGAAGAGACTACTGCCCCATGCAAGTCTCAAATCCAACAGGGCAGGCTTTAACCTTAAAGTTCCAAAGTGATCGCCTTTGACTCCATGTCTTAAATCCAGGTAATGCTGATGCAAGAGGTGGGTTTCCACAGCCTTGGGCAGCTCTGCCCCTGTGGCTTTGAAGGGTACAGCCACCTTCCCAGCTGGTTTCATGGGCAGCTTTTCCAGGTGCACAGTGCAAACTCTGTGTGTATCTACCATTCTGGGGTATGGAAGACTGTGGTTCTCTTCTTACAGCTCCACTATGCAGTACCTCAGTGGCTACAGCTCCACTATGCAGTACCTCCACTATGCAGTACCTTGTGTGGGGGCTGTAACCCCACATTTCTGCCCTGTACTGCCCTAGCAGAGGTTCTCCATGAGGGTTCCATCCCTGCAGCAAAATTCTGCCTGGAGATCTAGGAGCTTCCATACATTCTATGAAATCTAGGTGGAGGTTCCTCAACCTCAATTCTTGACTTCTTTGCACCCACAGGCCCAACACCATGTGAAACCTCCCAAGGCTTGGGGCTTGCACCCTCTGAAGCAATGGCCTTGGCTGTCTATTGGCCCATTTTAGCCAAGTCTGGAATCCAGGGCACCAAGTCCTGAGACTGCACAAAGCAGCAAGTTCTTGGGCCTGGCCCAGAAAACCATTTTTTCCTCCTAGTCCTCTAGGCCTGTGATGGGTGGGGCTGCCATGAAGGTCTATGACATGCCCTGGAGACATTTCCCCCATTGTCTTGGTGAATAATATTTGGCTCCACATTACCTTTGCAAATTTCTGTAGCCAGCTTGAATTTATCCCCAGAAAATGGGCTTTTCTTTTCTATCACAATGTCAGGCTGCAAACTTTGCAAACATTTATGCTCTGCTTCCTGTTGAACACTTTGCCACTTATAAATTTCTTCTACCAGATACCCTAAACCATCTCTCTCAAGTTCAAAGTTCCACAGTTCTCTAGGGCAGGGGAAAAATGCCACCAGTTGATTTGCATAGCAAGAGTCACTTTGCTTCAGTTCTCAACAAGTTCCTCATCTCCATCTGAGACTACCTCAGCCTGGACTTCACTGTTCATACCAGTATCAGCACTTTGGTCAAAGCCATTCAGCAAGTCTCTAGGAAGTTCTAAACTTTCCCACATCTTCCTGTCTTCTGAGCCATCCAAGTCTCTAGGAAGTTCTAAACTTGCTCACATGTTTCTGTCTTTTTCTGAGCCCTCCAAACTGTTCCAACCTCTGCCTGTTATGCAGTTCCAAAGTTGCTTCCCCATTTTTGGGTATCCTTACAACAATGCCCACTCTCTGTGGTACCAATTTACTGTTTTAGATTGTTCTCACACTGCTATAAGGATATACCTGAGACTGGGTAATTTATAAAGAAAAGAGGCTTGATTGACTCTGCAGGGCTGGGAAGGCCTCAGGAAAATTACAATCATGGAAAAAGGGGAAACAGTCACTTCCTTCTTCACATGGTGGCAGGGAAGAGAATTGCAGAGCAAAATGGGAAAAAGCTCCTTATAAAACCATCAGATCTCGTGAGAACTCACTCACTATCATGAGAACAGTTTGGAGAAACTGCCCCCATAATCTAAACATCTCCCTCAAGTTCCCCCCCACAACACATGGGGATTATGGGAACTACAATTCAAGATCTGACTTGGGTGGGGGTACAGCCAAAATATATCGCACACTACTCTCAATATGTAAACTCAGCCCTCATGACCTCATCTAAACATCATAACCCTCATTGAAATTTTGAACCCTCATTATGACATTTTGGGGTTGATACAAACATTTCATCCACAGCAAGAAGGTATAAAATAAATTTTACAACTAGATTAGATAAACATCTATTAAAATGTATACTAGATATAAATGGATAATTCCTGAATACAAATTTATATGTATGTCTTATAATTACATGATAACTACTTACAATCATTAGTCATCAGCAAAATGAAAATCATCAGCACAAAATATTCACTACAGACCCACCAAAATGAGTTAAGTAAAAAGACAAACAATATCATGAGGATGGAGAGAAACTGGAAGGAACATTCTTATGTTGCTGATAGGAATACAAATGGTACACACACTCTTAAAAGGCTTCGCATTTTTAAAATATATCAAACATAAACTTATTGTATAACCAGCAATTTCAATCCTAGGTAACAATCCAAAAAAAAAAAAAAAAACAACCCAGGAAGCACATGTCTACACAGAAACCTGTACATAAGTCATATTCCCAACAGTTTTACTCACAATAAATAAAAAATGGGAATGAAAGTTTACTAGAAAGTGAGTGGATAAACAAATTGCCCTGTATTCATACAATTAAGTAATATTTGATAATATTTGGCCAGACACGGTGGCTCACACCTGTAATCCCAGCACTTTGGGAGACAAAGGCAAGCGGATCACCTGAAGTCAGGAGTTCAAGACGAGCCTGACCAACATGGAGAAACCCTCATCTCTACTAAAAATACAAAATTAGCTGGGTGCGGTGGTAATTGAGTAGTCTATAATCCCAGCTACTCGGGAGACTGAGGCGGGAGAATTGCTTGAACCCGGGAGGCAGAGGTTGAGGTGAGCCGAGATCACACCATTGCACTCCAGCCTGGGCAACAAGAGTGAAACTCCGTCTCAAAAAAAAAATTAAAATTATAATTATAATAATTATTATTATTTTTAATTTTGGTAATTATAATTATAATTACCAAATTATTAATACACATAATAAATACCCACTAACACACACATAATGTATTATACATGCAAAATACATAAAAAGGTGAACAAAATACATTTTAAAATGCTAGGTCATAAAGCAGACACCAAGACCAGACACATAGTTACGTGAAAATTTAAAATAGGTAAACCTAATCTATCTTGCCAGAAAATAGCTCATTGTTGGCTGGAGGTATATATTAGGGGAGATGGAGAGTGGCTGACAGTGAAGCGTCATGGGGCAACTTCCTGTGGTGCTAGTAATAGTTTATATCTTGATTGTTGTGGTTACCATTCACATGGTGATACATATTTATTAAAATAATCAAATTGAACATTTAAAATATATTCATTTCATTGACTGCATAATTACACCTCAATAAAGTTGAATTACATAAATTGGATCTGAACTAGGATATTCATAGTGCTTTAGAGTGCCAGAGAGAAGTAAATACTTTCACAATTTCTTGGCCCAGAAAAACTATGTACAGGCATTAGTTCTAGATTCTCACATTTTAAGATTACTCTTGTATCATAACATTTTTATGAAAAAATGAGAAACATTTTTATCTCATAAATGTGCATTAAAATCATCAATGTTATTTAACATATATTTATCACATAAATAAAAATTGAGACGTGCCATTTGAACATTTATTTCTTGAAAATTAATAAGATGGAAATAAAATATTTGAACTGAAGCTACATAATATGGCTTAGAAAGGTTTATTTGTTATACATAACAAAAAATGGTTAATGTCTTATTATGTATCGAGGTTTTCTTTAAAACAATAAACTTCTTATAATCAGAAGGACTTTATAATTAATTGATAAACTTTAGGTTATCACAGTCAAAATAAAACCATCCTGGTAGGAACGTGAAATGCCTGAACCAGTGCCATGAAATAAGGAGATTCTTATATAGTTAAAACATGCTATTGCAAAATTTCAAAAGCTCGTAATAGTAATGTTTCAAAAAAATAAACCATAACCAAAACAAACAAACAAACAAAAAAACACGAACAGATGGAGAAAATCTTAACCCCTCTAAAGAATACCTTATTATTTGTAAATAAGTAAAATAATTGTAATTTGGGTGCTAAATTTGTAGCAGTTTTATTTGTTTGGTCAAATTTTACAAAAAATAATTTTGGGCACACTACCAAAGTGTATTTTATCTTTATTTAGCAAAATAATCAAATAATTAAAGGGGGTGAAATATGCCAATCTCATAAAGTTAGAAACAAAACATTTTTGGTTTTATTTTGCTTTGCACATATTATTTCAACCTACACAACCTTTGTCAGCTGACTGTAAGTGGCATATGTCACAGATTGGTAGATCTCAGCCCACCCACAGCTATGTGTATCTGAGGTATCAGTTTGTTCTTATTAGCTTGCCAGAATCCATATTTTTGCAGGGGTGGTTGGAGGTGGGTGGTAACACACACGTTTTACTTCAAATGGAAAGTATAATCCAAACACTATGAATAAATGCACTTTAACACTAGGGATAATAATACAAATAACAGGGATTTTTTTAAAAAAAAATACTGTTCATATGGTATAAATTTCTCAAAATAGCTAAAAGAACATTTAAACTGTTTTTAGCCATAGTAGGTGTGGTGATTCACACACTAGGAAGTTTATTCTATTTTGGGGAAAATAATCATGAACTTTGTTTGGGATTGTTTATATCAAAGATTTACATGTAAATTTGCATGATGAGTGTCCAAATCCCTTGGCAACCCTTCATCCCAATTACATAGATATATATTAATGCAAAATTAGGCTTTTTATTTTATTTACTGATAGAAAATAATATGAAACTTGAGGCTTATATTAAGAAATGCAGTCAACAATGTCATTCATGTTCATAAAATGATAGCACTTTAAAATAAAATAGTGAGGTTTAAATTATGGTCTAGATAGCTTGGATATTTGTAGCTTTCTTCATTTTGTCCAGAATATCGTTATCCACTAAAATCTTTGTTTAACAGACTAGAATGCTAGTTGGGTGTTGTGTAGCTCAACACAAAACCACTCCAAACAATGATCAATACTCCCTGCAAGACCTTAAAAGGAACATATGCTGGAGTTACAAAATGTGAAGACAGAGGAAGAAGTTCTTTAAACTGGCATTCAGGTCTTTCCAGTGAGACAGTAAATGAGAGTGGAGTTTTAAAACAACAACAACAACAGCAACAACAACAAACCTTTCATGTTGAAATGCTTTTCTCTCTTTAGAATAATTAAAGCAGTATATGAATATTATGTAACATATGGAAAATACGCTAATTTAAAATGACTGATAAACCCAAGCATACAAGATAATATGGTGAACATGTTACTGCAATACTTCATAGTTTTGCTATACAAATGTTAAAAATAAACTATACCTTGAATTACACATATTAGAGAGAACTTAAGTGTGAAAAATTCCTTGTGCTTTTGTATAACAAGTCAAATTTATATGGGATGTCCAATATCAAACTATTTGAAAATGACATCCTACAACTAGTGATTATCAATAGTCATTATATATACTCTTGATATGAAATTAAAATATAGATTTCTTAAAATGCTTTAAGATTTTATTCAACAAATTGGCATTTTCTATATCTAAATCTTTATGGTATTTGATTTACCCAACAATGATGACAATGTTTAAACACAATTTTATTTTTTTTAGTTTTTATCTGAAATAACTATAAATAAATGCATTTAATATGTCAGCCATTTTTTTATGTAATAAAAATGTTGTTTTAATGTAAAACATTTCCTTTGGTCTCACAATTTATTCTTTGTATATAGGTACCTATATAAAATGAAATAAAATTAGAAATCTTATGTTTACATACATATGAATTTAATATAGAGGTATTATATGTGTATACATATGCATGTTTAATATCTTTTAAAATCTCAGTTCAAATGCCAGAGAAATTTAAATAGAATCATCAGTTAGAAGGAGGAAAACATTGAAATGAGACATCTATGATGTATAGGCCAAAAAAACCCTTTTTTTAAAAAATAAAGAAGGAAAGACAGCTTTATAAGAGCATCTGAAGCATAAGGGTAAACAGATTAAAGCAACCAACTATGAAATGTTGACAAGGTTTTCTATCACTAACTTTGTTTTAGAATTTTTAATATACTTCAAGTTCTGGGATACATGTGCAGAACGGGCAGGTTTGTTACATAGGTATACACGTGCCATCGTGGTTTGCTGCAACTATCAACCCGTCATCTACATTAAGTATTTCTCCTACTGCTATCCCTCACCCAGCCCCCTACAGGCCCCAGAGTGTGATGCTCCCTTCCCTGTGTCCATGTGTTCTCATTGTTCAACTCCCGCTTATGAGTGAGAACATGTTTTTAAAGTCTGTAGTTAAAAAGTTGTCTTAAGTTTGCGAGTATAATTTATGACTGTTAATACCCCCTACCGTATTATTACTCTACAGTTTTTCCTTTGTAGATCATTCTGGTAAAAACTGTACTTTCGATTTTTTTGAGGTATAGTGGGATAATATAGTAAGTTTTGGAATGTCAAGAAGTTGAAAAAATAAAGGTTAATTTTGTAACAGGCACTTGAGTAATTTTTTTTGTCTTTTCAAGGTAATCTATTAAGTGATGAGATATTGATATGGATAAATAATGTAGATGTGTGGAGAAACTGTGCTTTTCCTTTTTTGTTGCTATGAACATTTCCCAGATTAGTCCATCTTGGGTATTGTCTTAGTTCATTTGTATTGCTCTAACAAAATACTACAGACTGAGTAATTTATTAACATCAGAAATTTACTTCTTTTATCAGAAAATTTTTCTGTTGTTTATCAATTACAGAGGCTGAGTAGTACAAGATTAAGGCCCCAGCAAGGTTGGTGTCTACCGAGGGCTCAGTCTTTGCTTCCAAGATGGCACCTTGTCACTGTATCCTCTGCAGGGGCAAAATATGTGTCATCACATGGCAGAAGGGACAGAAGGGGTAAGTTCACGAGCTTGAGATCTTTTATTCAGCACTAATTCATTTATAAGGGTGGAGTTCTCATGGCCTAATAGCCTTATAAATGTTGTACATAATACTGCTGCATTGGGGATTAAGTTTCAACATTAATTTTGGAGGGGAAACAGACCTGAATAAGAGAGCAGGTGTTATAGAATTATACCATGAAGAAAATTCACTAATTATTCTTAAAGCCTGCTTAGACTAGTTCAGATCTTATTGCTTTTCCCAAAAAAGTCACTTGAATAACTGTCCCTGATTACAAACAAATTATATACATATATATATATATATATATATATATATATTTTTTTTTTTTTTTTTTTTGCTGGAAGAATAATGGCAAAACACAGGTTCATAATTTAGGATGGCCTTTTCATCTGGGGTATTTAATTTTAAAACACTACATTTAACTTTTTGAAGAGATAAAGTTGCAACTGTATAATAAATTTGTTACAAATAACAATTATTTATTTACTTTCTTTTGGAACATTTCAGCCTGTATTGAACTCTATATTCATACAGCTCATAACAAATGACATGTAACACTTAGAGAAGTGAAGAATCTGGATAATTGAAGGAAAACATCTTCCATCTAAACAAACAAATACTAAATTATACATGAAAATATTATGAAATAGATATTGAGACTAGGTCTAAAGCTCTCTTATACTTTCCTATATTGTAAACCAAATATTTCTACATTAATTATTTATATCTGGAGCTTCTATTTTTTTCTGTTTTTTGTTATTAATTACATTTTATAATATCAATGACCTACAATTAAAATATAATCAAATGTCTCTTTTTCCCTGTCACTTCATGTGCAATAATATTCAAGTGAAAAGTTCAGATATAATATGTGAAACTGGGAGAATTTACTTTTTAATGTAAAGCATTTTGGATGCCTTTTCTTAGAAGTATCAAAACACATGGTCCTAGTCATTATTACACATAATCCAAAGGAGAATTTTCTCCTTAGTCTCTTAACAGTAATACTAGCCTGTACTTGTACTGGAAGTTATACCCAGAATTGACCTAGAACTGAACTTCAGTGTATTAGCAAGATATTGGCTATGCTATTCAAATTAAATTTAACGCTTTGAAAGAAATCACTATAAAAACAAATAAGATTTTATGCAAAGCAGATAAATTGAGAAAAACATTTTGATAATGTAGATGCAAACTTGAGGAATAAATTCAATGTAAACATACATAAATAATTACAAACATCTTTGTTAAATGACATTTTTTTGGATACGGGATTAGAGGCATTGCTAGCATACGTCTCCTGTTTAGAAGCACAGAATAATGTATAGAGATTCACATTGTGAACATTTTTCCAGAAACGATGCAGGAACTAAGCAGGAAAACCGAAGAAATCTATGGATCCCAGAAGGAAGCAGGAGCCTGCAGCCTACACTATGAGTCAGACAAAGGGCTGCGAGTACGCAGAGTGTGAGAGAGGGAGAGTTTGCCTCTGGGATACACATCCCCACCCCGGGGAGCCTGAAAGCCCAGGGCACAGGGTAAGGCCTTAACCTCACACAAAGCAGGAAATAACTTGGGGAAGTTCATGGAATATAAAAGAAGCAGCAGCGGCAGGAAGACCCTTGAATTCACTCCCAGATCCCAGTATGGACCAAGGGCAGCCATTACTTACTGTTGCTCAGAAGGCCTCGTGAAGGACAGCCAAAAAGTTCAGGCAGTGGTCACAAGTTGAAAGAAGCTCCCAACGGGGTTTCCAGATGTAACCTTTGGTGGTGACAAAATCCCGTGGCCAGGGCCAGTGTAGGGGAGAGTGAAAAGCAGGCTGTGAGTGCAGGAGCCACGGGTTCATGAGCCATGAGTGCAGGAGTTGTGAGTAGGAGCCAAGTGCCAGGCTTTTCAGGGAACAGAGAGGGGCATGACTTGAAAGCTGTGGTTGCTATCTGCATGGGGAAAGCTTATGAGTTCTGAAAGTGGGGAATTCTAATTACAGGCTGACGCGAACTCATCTCTCTGCTGCCAATGGAAATCCGTGGGAGTGCGTGTGCCTCTCCAAGTGTGTGGGAACTCTGTGGGGCTTATCACCACCTGCTACACCAACTTCCTGAACAAATTCTGTGCAGTAGAGGCAACAATGCTCCCCTCTAGAATATCAACCCAGTGGCATGAGACCTACCTACTCCCATCCCTCTAAACCCACAAGGGCTGCTGCTTGACCTGCACACATAGACTCAGAGTATAAACCTGCCCTACCCAGCTCCTTCTTGGCTTTGCCCCACCACCCACCTTGGTAGCTTACACAAAGGACAGAAGCTCTTGGGAACTACATGGCCCTGCCCATTGCCTGAGAAATCAGAGTAACCGCCCCCACCCCGTCCCCATCTAGTAACATAAGGCAAGTGAAAATCCCACTGCTAGTACACAGCTGGTGCTCTTTTGCAAGCACCATCTCCTGGCTGTAGGCCAACCAACACAGTCCATTATGGTATCTCCTGGTAGAACAACACTGCAACCAGGAAGAAGAAAACAGCTGCATGATCTCAGTTATTACCACTACTTGTACCTCTCTGGCTAACCAAGAGGTCCTGAGTCTGTCCATATGACTAGTTCATTACCACTATAACTGGTGTTCAAGAAAGCCAAAACACTATGGCTATCAATAACCAAGGAACTTCACAGAGTCTCTGACAATCCCCTGCCACTTCCATTAGAGCTGGTGCAGCTACCCACTTTTGGGAAACTTGAGGATAGGTCACATCACTGGATTCCTTGCAGATATTCCCTAACACCAGCATGGAGTGTGACAACCTCACTGAGCAGCCAGACCCAGAGGCACAACACTCACAGTAGTCTGGCTTCCAGGGACTCCTAGTGATAGGGAAAGGAGAAGTGCACCACATGAAGGGAACACCCTATGGGATAATAGAATCTGGTTGGCAGGCCTTGAGCACCAGATCCTTCTGCTGGTTGGTGGAAAGCTTTCTTAAGAACAGTTGAAATGCTGGGCTCAGCAGGGAAAGTTTTCCACTGTATTCCAACAGACTTGTACAGCCCTGGTGCGTGTGAAAGGTCTTGGAGAAGAGGAAGTCTTTCCTCCCTTGTCTACCACTGTAGGCACATTTTGGGCTTCTCCCATGAGAGCTCAGCATGGGCACAACTATAGACAGCCTTTCTGGAACATATCAGAGCCACTGCATCCACAAAGGAGGAGCACACTCCGGGTCCAGGATAGCATGAGAGACAGAGTCACAATTCCTCTTTATTTGGAACATCAACATTCCTACAGATGAGAAGAGGTGCCTGTCTGATCTGAATAGCTGCAGCACTGGGACAGAAGCATGTCTGAGAGGTGGATAACATTCCTGCTGACCTGGCAGGGGAACTGATGTGGCTCCAACCCTTTCTCCTTCTAAGACCCCAGTGTGACTCACTGAGAGTTTCTCCAACCACTTTTGTCAAGACTGGGACTTTATCCACCTGCTTTAGCCACAACCTGTTCCTACCCAGAGACACCTTGCCTATTGGCCTAAAGCCTGAGCCATCAAACTATTAAATAAAATACTGGAGAAAAATAAATAAATAAATTGCACTCCACAGGAGAAAGAGATAAGCTTTAAGAGACCTCTATAATTTCAACCCAGTAGGAGATAGTGGACTTATTTACACACTGAACACATTGCTACTACAACCAATATATGAGAAAACCATTGTTCAAAGACTGTCTATAACCAAAATCTCTTACAGAGCCTTCATCCCTGAAAGCACCAAGAGCTGAATTAGACTATAATTTATTATAAGCAATAAAAGAACATAGTCAAATCAAACATAAATTCAAGAACAATGAAAAGCACTACTCTATCAAAATGAAAATGAACCAGAAAAATAACTCTGGTAATATGACTAAAGAGGGTGCAAATACTCCCAAAAGTCACACTGGCTCTGCAGCAGTGAGCCCAGACCAAGATAAAATCTAATAACAGATAAATAGTTCAAAAGTTTGATTATTAAGCTACTCAAGGAAATATCAGAGAAAGGTAAAAACTATCATAAAGAAATTTAAAAAGCAGTTCAGGATATGAATGAAAAATTTTCTAGAGAGATAGATATCATCAAGAAAACAATAAATACTTCTGGAAATAAAAGGCATACTGAGGTTATTACAAAATGCAGTGGGAAGTTGTAACAGTAGACTAGAATAAGTAGAAGAAATAATTTCAGAGCTTGAAGACAAGGCTTTTGAGTTAACCCAATCAGACAAAAATAAAGAAAAAATAATAAAAAGAAATGAGCAAAGTCTCCAAGAAATATGATATGCAAAATGGCCAAATCTAAGAATAATTTGTGTTCCTGAGGAGGAAGAGAAAATGATGTCTGAAAAACTTATTTGAAGGAATAATTGAGGAAAACTTTCATAGCCTGGCTAGAGATCTAGATATCCAAATCCAAGAAGCTCAAAGAACTCCTGGGAAATTCATTGCAAAAAGATCTTCACCAAGGCATATAGTTATTATGCTATCTAAAGCCAACATGAAGGAAAAAAATTCTAAGAGCAGCAAGACAAAAGCATCAGATAGCCTATGAAGGAAATCCTATCAGAATAACAGCAGACTTCTCAACAGAAACTTTACAAGCCAGAAGGTATTGTTAGCCTATCTTCAACCTCCTTAAACAGAGCAACTGTCAGCCAGGAATTGTTTTATTACAGAAAAGAAGAAGAAATAGTGATTTTCAGAAAAACAAATCCTGAAGGGAGTTGTCACTACCAAACCAGCACTACATGAAATGCAAAAAGGAGTTCTAAGCCTTGAAACAGAAGCCCAATATGCATCAACATAAAACCTCTTGAAAGCTTAAAACTCACAGCGCCTATAAAACAATAACAGAAGGAAAAAAAAACTAGATAACAATTAACGTGATGAACTTTACCTCACATCTCAATATTAACATTGAATGTAAATGGCCTAATTGCTCCACTAAAAAGATTCAAAATGCCATAATGGATAAAAAGTTCACAATCCAAATATCTATTGTCTTCAAGAGACACACCTAACATGGAATAATTCAGATAAAAGTAAGGTAAATGGGTGGAAAATGCAGTCCATATAAACAGAAACCAAAAGTGAGCAGGAGTAGCTATTCTTATGTCAGACAAAACAGACTTCAAGATAAAAACAATTAAAAAAAAAACAAAGATGGTCATTGTATAATAACAAAAGGATCAATTTAACAAGAAACCATTACAATCCTAAATTTATATGCACTAAACACTGGATCCCCTAGATTCATAAAATAATTACTACTCAGAGTGAGAGAGAGAGCAAAACAATAATAGCAGGAGATTTCAATATCCACTGACAGCACTAGACAGAACTTTGAGACAAAAAGTCAAGAGAGAAACAATGGACTTACATGACATACTAGAACGAATTGACTAAATGGATATTTACAGAACATTCTACCCAAAATCTGCAGTGTATACATTCTTCACATCAGCACATGAAACATTCTTCAAGATAGATCATATGATAGGCCACAAAACAAGTCTCATAAATTTGAAAAAACTGAAATCATATTAAGTATCTTCTCAGAGTACAGCAGAATAAAACTAGAAATAAAATCCAAAAAGGAACCCCAAAACACTACCAACATATAGAAATTAATAATCTGCTCCTGAATGATATCTAGGTTAACAATGAAATCAAGATGAAAGTTAAAAATTATTTGAATTGAGTGATAATAATGAGATAAATTATGAAAATCTCTGGATACAACAAAAGCAGTGCTAAGAGGAAAGTTTCTAGTAATAAATGCCTACATCAAAAAGTCTGAAAGAGCACAGATTGACAACCTAATGTCACTCCACAAGGAATCAGAGAAACAAGAACAAACTAAATCCAAAGCTGGAAGAAGAAAAGAAATAAAGATCAAAGCAGAACTAAATGAAATTCAAACAACAACAACAACAACAAAATACAAAAGATCAATGAAACAAAAGCTGGTTCTCTGAAAAATTAAAATTGATAGACCATTATCTAGATTAATAAAAAACAGAAGAAAGAAGATGCAAACAAGCTCAATTAGAAACAAAATTTTAGACATTACAACCAATGCCACAGAAATAAAAAAGATCATTCAAGACTACTATGAACACCTTTATGCACACAAACTAGAAAACCTAGAGGAAATGGACAAACTCCTGGAAACATACAACCCTGCTAGATTAAATCAGGAAGAAATAGAAAACTTGAATAGACCAAAAACAAGCAGCAAGATTGAATCAGTAATTTAAAAATTGCAAACAAAAAAGCCCAGGTCCAGATGGATTCACAGCGGAATTCTACCAGACATTCAAAGAAGAATTGGCACCAATTCTGCTGAAATGATTTCAACAGATTGAGAAAGAAGGAATCTTCCTAAGTCATTCTATAAAGCTAGTATCTCCCTGATATCAAAACCAGGAAAGGACACAACAACAACAACAAAAAACTACAACCAAGTTCCCTGATGAACATAGATGCAAAAATACTCAACAAAATATTAGCCAACTGAATCCAACAACACATCAAAAAGATAAATCGTCATAATGAAGTGGATTTCATTCCAGGGATGCAGGAATGGTTCAACATATGCAACTCAATAAATGTGATACCCCACATAAACAATTAAAAACAAAAACCATATGATCATCTCAATAGATACAGATAAAGCATTCAACAAGATTCAGCACCCCTTTATGATGAAAATTGTCAAAAACTAGGCACAGAAGAGACCTACCTCAAAAGAATAAAAGCTATGTATGACAAACCCACAGCCAACATCACACTGAATGGGGAAAAGTTAAAGTATTCCCCTTGAGAACAGAAAGAAGAAAAGGATGTCCACTTTCACCACTCCTATTTAACATTGTTCTGTAAATACTAACCAGGACAATTAGGCAAGAGAAAGAAAGGACATTCAAATTGGAAAATAGAAAGTCAAACTATTGCTGCTTGCAGATGATATGATTGTACTCCTAGAAAACTAAAGACTCACCCCTAAATCTCCTGGAATTGATAAGTGCATTCAGTAAAGTTTCAGGATAAAAAAATGTACACAAATCAGTAGCCCTGCTATACACCAATAGTGACCAACCTCATAATCAAATCGAGAACTGAACCCCTTTTACATTAGCTGCAAAAAAATTAGAACTATGCTTAGCCTAGGAGGTGAAAGACCTCTACAAGGAAAACTACAAAGCACTGCTGAAAGAAATTACAGACAACACAAACAAATGGAAACACATACCATGTTCATGGATGAGGAGAATCAATATTGTGAAAATGACCATATTGCCAAAAGCAATACATAAATTTAATGCAATTCTCATCAAAATACCACCATCATTCTTCACAGAACTAGTAAAAACAATTCTGAAATTCATATGGAACCAAAAAAGAACCCACACAGACAAAGCAAAACTAAGCAAAAGAACAAATCTGAAGGCATCACATTACTATACTTCAAATTATGTTAGAAAGCTGTAGTTACCAAAAGAGCATGGCTATTATATAAAAGTAGACACATAGGTCAATGGAACAGAATAGAGAAATGAGAAATAAGGCCAAATATATACATTCAACTGATCTTCAACAAAGCCTGCTAAAACATAAATTGGGGAATGGACATCCTATTTAGTAAATGGTTCTAGGAAATTTGGCAAGAACATGTAGAAAAAAATTAAACTGATTCCCATCTCTCACTATATATAAAAATCCAGTCAAGAAGGATTAAATACTTCAATATAAGACCTGAAACCACAAAAATTCTAGAAGACAACATTGGAAATACTCTTCTAGACATCAGCTTAGACAAGTAATTCATGAATAAGACCCCAAAAGCAAATGCAACAAAAACAAAAATAGATAAATGGGACCAAATTAAACTAAAAAGCTTCTGCACAGCAAAATAAATCATCAACAGAGGAAACAGACAATCTACCTAGTGGAAGAAAATATTTGCAAACTACACACCTGACAGAGGACTAGTATCTGCAATCTATAAGGAAGTCAAACAAATCACCAAGAAAAAAACAAATATTTCCATTAAAAAAGTTGACAAAGGACATAAATAGACATTTCTCAAAAGAAGATATCACATGGTCAACAAAGATATGAAAAAATGCTCAACGTCTCTAATCCTCAGGGAAATGAAAATGAAAACAACAATGAGATACCACCTTACTCATGAAAGAATGGCCATTATTAAAAAGTCAAAAAACAATAGATGATGTTATGAATGTGGTGAAAAGAGAACTCTTATACACTGCTGGTGTGAATGTACATTAGTATAACCTCTAAGGAAAGCAGTATGGAGATTCCTTCAAAAGCTAAAAGTAGATCTACCATTTGATCCAGTAATCCCACTACTGGATATCTACCCAGTGGAAAAGAAGTCAATGTATAAAAAAAGACACTCACACAGATATGTTTATAGGGGCACAACTGACAGTTGCAAAGATGTGGAACCAACCTAAGTGTCCATTAACTAATGAATAGATCTTTAAAATGTGATATATATACATCATGGAATGCGACTTACCTATTAAAAGGAACAACATGTCTTTTGATGCAAGTTGGATGGAGCTGGAAGTAATTATTCTACGTGAAGTAACAGGAGTGGAAAAACAAAAACTCTATGTTCTGACTTTAAGTGGGAGCTAAGGTTGGGCGTGGTGGCTCATGCCTGTAATCCCAGCACTTTAGGAGGCCAAGGCCGGCAGATCACCTGAGGTTGGGAGTTCAAGACCAGACTGAGCAACATAGGGAAAGCCCGTCTCTACTAAAAATACAAAATTAGCCAGGCGTGGTGGCTCATGCTTATAATCCCAGCTACTCAGGAAGCTGAGGCAGGAGAATCGCTTGAACCCAGGAGGCGGAGGTTGCAGTGAGCCGAGATCACACCATTGCACTCCATCCTAGGCAACAAGAGCAAAACTCTGTCTCAAAAAAAAAAAAAAAAGAAAAGAAAAGAAAAAACAAGTAGGAGCTAAGCTATGAATATGTAAAGACATAGAGTAATATAATGGACTTTAGAGATTCAGAAGGAGGGGCAAGAATAAAAAACTACACACTAGGTACAATGTACACTACTCGGGTAATCGGTGCACTAAAAAAACCACAGAATTCACCACTATGTAATTCATCTATGTAACAA
The DNA here is from genome assembly GCF_000001405.40 of Homo sapiens. Classification (NCBI taxonomy): domain Eukaryota; kingdom Metazoa; phylum Chordata; class Mammalia; order Primates; family Hominidae; genus Homo; species Homo sapiens. The sequence continues at coordinate 94,743,171 of NC_000006.12, forward strand.
AAAACCACTTGTACCCCAAAACTTATTGAAATAAAAAATTAAAACAAAAAGCAAATAAGATGATGATTTGACAACACAAAGACATATAATCTAGCTACGTATTGACAAAATAAACAAACAAAACAACATGTCTAGCTATTCATATATATAACATTAAGTAGAAAAAGCATAGCATCCTTCCTTCTCAGGTTTAATTTTTTTTACAATGTTTAATTATTTTAACTCAGTGAACAAGTGTGAGTGTATTTAGTGTTACAGGGATAAATTCTGTATTAGACAAAGCACTCTAGGCGCAATTACTCGTGAGAGGTAGACAGACATAACTGAATTTAATATTGAAGAAAATGAAAATAATATGAAAGAGGCAAAAGTCAGTTGTTGAGACTAGTTACAGGGAGATGTGATTCACTCCACCAGGAAGAATTAGAACTTCTAAGATGTTATTTAAGAATAACAGTATTTCTATAAGTAGAGGTTGTAAGAGAAACTTGAATAATTAAAGAGAGGAAGCAAACATGGAATAGTTGCCTAGCAGATACCAGACATGTGGTTATGCACTTTATATATAGTCATTTCATCCCTACAAAAATTATTTGAGATAAACAACAATATTCCCATTTAAGGGATGAGTTACATCACTTTAAGACCAATCCTTTAAAAACCAAAGCAATCTATCTTTATGAACAGGCAAGAGCAATATTTCTAGATCTTGTGCTAATAGATTAACTTTTAAAATTATTTCTGAGCCAGCAAGTATTTTTATCAAGCTAAATCCACAAACATACATGGAAAGCTTTTCAATTTTTCACTTTTTATCTCAATGTTTGACATCATATTTGTAACTGTAAGGGAATTTATAGTCAATTTACAAATGTTGCTGACTTTTGACCAAAAATAAGAGAATAAAAGTAAATCCGAGATCAAACCAAATTAAATGTAATTAAATGTTTCTAGTTTAAAATCTCACTCATATACTTACGCTATAAGAGTTTTGTGTATATTAGAGTCTGAAAAAAATAAAATGTGGAAATTATTTTAGAATAAACACCAAAAAAAATAAAAAGATATCAGTTAACTCAAGTAAAAATGATGCTTTGTTTTGTGAAGAATTTGTAGAGCACCCAGTATCTATTTGCCTTATGGGATCTCCATTTTTAGCAATATTGAAGAATAATGATGTTCTTTTCTATTGGGAATTAACAGAGACAATCTTAAATTTTTCTTTTTATTTAATGTCAAATTTTGAACCAAATGAAAAATGTTTTAAAGATTTATGAAAATGCAGAAGCAGATGAAATTTTTAAAGAACACAGTGAGGTGAAAATATTCTAATTTTATCCTCACTGGTATAAATATTGCATTTCCTTGGGGCTGTGAATAACTAATTCTGTTTCAATTCTACTTCTTCTTCTTCTTCTTCTTCTTATTATTATTATTTGAGATGGAGTCTCGCTTTGTTGCCCAGGCTGGAGTGCAGTGGGGTTACCTCAGATCACTGCAACCTCCACCTCCCAGGTTCAAGTGATTCTCCTGCCTCAGCCTCCTGAGTAGCTGGGATTACAGGTGCGTGCCATCACTCCCGGCTAATTTTTGTATTTTTAGTAGAGACGGGTTTCACCATGTTGGCCTGGCTGATCTTGAACTCCTGACCTCGTGATCCGCCCACCTCGGCCTCCCAAAGTGCTGGGATTACAGGTGTGAGCCACCGCGCCCAGCTCAACTTGACTTATTTTTGAATATAACCAAATCAGCTTCTAACTAGACAGGTCATCTTGGGAAAATAACTCAAACTCTTAGATATTTGGTTCTTTCACATTTAAGCTGCTAAGATTGAAAATGTTCTTTAAGGCCCAATCAACTTTAACATTCTGCTGCAACTAGATATTTTCATGACTTAACAACTGTAACTATTATAAGCATGGAAGGAAAGATGCACAGTTATGGCACAGATAGGTTAGTATATTACTTGTTCAGTAGAAACACTTGAAATCAAATGTAATTACATTGCAACTAGTTTATTAAAATTGCAAGCCATATTTAACATATATTGCTGTCCATTAATGTACAAAAAATAAGAAAATCTATAGGCTTATTTATCAATTTTTGAAATATTAAATGAAACAGGTTTTTATATTTTCTCATACATTTTATTGTTTCTTTTTGCTCCTCAGGCTGACCAGAATAATAGACTAGCTTCAAAATCTCGAATATTATAACTTAATGTCATGAAATTCTGATAGTTTTACATGTATATATATATATAAAATCCTTTATGTTGAAGTAAATTTATTATGTTTACTTTTGTTCTGTGATACACATGTACACATATATATTTGTAATTACTCCTTTATTGCCAGATCTTGCATTCTTTTCCTCATAAGATTAATAATTAACTCTATTTTTTCTAGAATTAAGAGAAGCTGTGTTTTAAACTGCATAAATATTTTACTCAGCACCATCTACTAGGCAAAATGTAGTGATCAATAATCACTAGTAAATTTATTTCTTAAAATTATGTTTGGTCTTTATGTGTTTATATAAGATAGTAAGGTGCTATGTATTCATTCAAAAATACATAGCCTACTTGATGTCAATATTCATCAGTATACTAGGAAATTGCAAGGTACCATGTGGAAATAATTCCCTGAAACATGATTGCAGTTCATAGAGTAAGTCATTAACCACTCCACCCTTCTGACCTCGCTTTTCCCCAACTCCATGCCTGCTCCCAATGTTCTCTACTATGAACTATTTCTTGGTTTTCCATTTTTACCTTAGCCTTGCTCATTTAGTTTAGGATTAGAAATTTTCTCTCTGCTCTTGCAGTGATTCTGATTCTATTAGACTACTTAAAATCATGAGCCCTCCTGTGTCAATTCCAGCACAAACCTCAAGATTGCCACTCAAAACAAAAACAACATAAAGTAAAGAATCTTCTTAATTTGATGATTTAGAACCCAAACACAAAATAAAATTTACTATAGTGTTTTTCAAAGCTACTAAGGGAGTTTTAGTCTTTCTTTAAAGTCTGTCTCAAAAATTCCTCAACTATAACATTATTTTTACTTCTCACATTCGTCCATGTTTGAGGAAATTAATATTTCTCCAAACTCTAAAAATTTTTTAAGGACTATAAACAAATTTTAATGTATACATGTACAGATATATGAATATATCAATAAATTATTGAATCAACCAATGACCTATTAGATATATAGGACATTTTTACTTTACCCTTTGTTTCTTGAGCAACCCTTGATTTTTTCTATAAATTGCATTTGGCATAATTTCTTCAGATTTCTCTCTTTACCAATTTTCATCTTCTGTATCTAATATTCTCATTAATCCATAGGTTAATGCTTTGTATCAGTGAGTTATTTATATTTAGGATTGTGATATAGTTCCTTTTCAATTTAGCATGTGTGTATATGTTATTTGTATTTGTGTCTTCGTTATTCAAATTTGCTTTTGGTTTCTTTTTTATCATCTTAATAATTTTAAACAATTATTTTATATTATTTTTTAGGTTGCTTTACTATGTCTTGGTCTTGGGGTTGTAATACTTTTAATTGGTTAACTGTTCTCTAACTCTCTTTTGATTGATTCTTTAGGCAGTTTTACATTTTTGTTGTTGAACTTATTCTCACTGCAAAATTATACTTTATGTGATTCCAATATATTCCTGAGTTGAGTCTCTTTGTTGACAGATATTCTGCATTTTCACTCTGATGTTCTTTTTCAATATTTTAGGTACATCAATATACAGTACTAATTACAACCAAAATGTTAAACCTGCTCTTGGATTATGTCATTTCATGTTAGATCTTTAGATAGGTACTAATACAACAAAATCATCAGTCAATTCACTTTTGTGTGTTCTAGATATACTAATCAACTTTAATAATAATTCATTAGAAAAAAAACTTTTATGCCTATACACTCCACAGATGCAAATATACTTCTTAAGTCACTAAGCACTAATGAATTATCTTGATCCGTCTCCCTAATAGAAATTATTCCCTGATGTAATGCACACCTGAAATGTGGGTCACCCCCATCAAACAAGTTGTAAGCCTGTCTTAGATTTCAGACATATTATTTTTACAACTGTGGTTATTAACAAGTATTTATATAGTGATAAGTAATGTGTTAGGTGCCATTGGCCTTCAGGCACAATGACCGTATTTCAGATATAAAAACCTGCCTCTACTATTTTCATTGGATTTTATCAAAGTGTACTTGCATATATGTACATGTGTATTAAATATTTTAGCAAAAATTATTAGGACAAATTAAATATACTTATGAAGATAATTAAATTTAACATCAATATCTTAATGAAGATGGAATGCAAATATTCTAAGCTTAATAATTAATTTCCTAAAGTTTCTTAAACAGCTTAATTTCAGACCCACCTATAACCTCTATATATAAGCACATGCAGGTATATCAAGAAAATATTGTGAGTTCAGTTCCTGAGCACCCCAATTAAGCAAATATTGCAATACAGCAATTTAAACTTTTTGGGGGGTTTCCCACTGCATATAAAGGTTATGTTTGTATCATTATGTCTATGAACAAAATCTCTATACCCAAATTTTAAAAATTCTTAATTGCTAAAAAATATTCACAATTATCTGAGCTTAGATTGAGTCACAACGTTGTGCCGAGGAAGAGACCTGCCTTGATATTGATAGCTTCTGACTGATCAGGGCTATGGTTGTTGAAGGTTGGGGTGGCTGTGACAATTTCTTAAAATGAGAAACAATGAAGTTTGCTGTAGCAATTGACTCTTCCTTTCATAAAAGATTTCTCTGTAGCATGTGATGCTGTTTGATAGCATTTTATCCATAGTAGAACTTCTTTTAAAATTGGAATCAATCCTCTCAAGTCTTGCTGCTGTTTTATCAACTAAATTTATGTAATATTTTAAATCCTTTGTTGTCTTATCAACAATGTTCACAGCATCTTCTCCAGTAGATTTCATGTCAAGAAATTACTTAACTTGCTCATCCATAGGAAGCAACTCTTTATTCAAGTTTTACCATGAGATTGTAGCAATTCAGTCATGTCTTCAGGATCTTGTTCTGTTGCTATTTCTACCATATCTCCAGTTACTTTCTCCACTGAAGTCTTGAACCCTTCATTTATGAGAGTTAGAACTAATTTCTTCCAAATTCTGAGTAATGGTGATATTCTGACCTCCTTTCATGAATCACACATGCTGTTAAAGACATCTAGAATGGTGACTCCTTTATAGAAGATTTTTAATTTACTTTGCCCAGATTCATCAGAGGAAACAGATACAGCCTTACAAAATATATTTCTTAAATAGTAAGACTTGAAAGTTGAAATTACTCCTTGATCCATGGTCAGTATAATGAATGTTGTGTTAGCAAGCATGGAAACAATGCTAATCTCTTTGTACGTCACCTTCAGAAGGCATGAGTGACCAGGTTCATTGTCAATAAGCAGTTATATTTCAAAAGGAGTCTTTTTTTCCAAGTAGTGGGTGTCCACAGTGGGCTTAAAATATTCAGTAAGACATGCTATACACAAATGTCATCTGGGATTTGTTGTTCAATTTCTAGAGCATGGGCAGAGCAAATTCGCATAATTTTTAAGGGCTTTAGGATTTTCTGGATGGTAAATGAGGATTGACTTCAACTTAAAGTCATCACCTGCATTAGTCCCTAATAAGAGAGTTAGCCTGTCAGTCCTCTGAAGCTTTGAAGCCAGGTACAAACTTCTCCTCTCCAGTTATGAAAGTTCTAGATGGTGTCTTCTTCCAATAGAAAGCTGTTTCATTTACACAAACAAAAATCTATTTCTTAGTATAGCTATTTTCATCAATGATTTTTAAATGGATCTTCTGGATAATTTACTGCAGCTTCTAGATCATCACTTGCTGTTTCACTTTGCACTTTTGTGTTAGAAAGAGGGCATTTTTCTTCCATCCTCATGAGCCTAACTCTGCTATTTTCCCTGTGGTTTATTAAATTTTATGTTATTTGTAGGGTTTTTTTATTATTATACTTTAAGTTCTGGGATACATGTGCAGAGCGTGTAGGTGTGTTACATAGTTATACACATGCCATGGTGGTTTGCTGCACCCATCAACCCATCATCTACATTAGGCATTTGTCCTAATGCTCTACCTCCCCTAGCCCCCGACCCCTAGACAGGTCCCGGTATGTGATGTTCCCCTCCCTGTGTCCATGTATTCTCATTGTACAACTCCCACTTATGAGTGAGAACATGTGGTGTTTGGTTTTCTGTTCCTGTGTTAATTTGCTGAGAATGATGGTTTCCAGCTTCATCCATGTCCCTGCAAGGGACATGAACTCATTATCTTTTATGGCTGCATAGTATTCCATGGTGTATATGTGCCACATTTTCTTTATCCAGTCTATCATTGATGGGCATTTGGATTGGTTCAAAGTCTTTGCTATTGTGAATAGTGTTGCAATAAACATATGTGTGCATGTGTCCTTACAGTAGAATGATTTATAATCCTTTGGGTTTATACCCAGTAATGGGATTGCTGGGTCAAATGGTATTTCTGGTTCTAGATCCTTGAGGAATCTTGACACTGTCTTCCACAATGGTTGAACTAGTTTACGGTCCCACCAACAGTGTAAAAGTGTTCCTATTTCTCCACATCCTCTCCAGCATCTGTTGTTTCCTGACTTTTTAATGATTGCCATTCTAACTGGCGTGAGATGGTTTCTCATTGTGGTTTTGACTTGCATTTCTCTAATTACCAGTAATGCTGAGCGTTTTTTCATATGTTTTTGGCCACTTCTTTTGAGAAGTGTCTGTTCATATTCTTTGCCCACTTTTTTATGGGGTTGTTTTTTTTTTCTTGTGAATTTGTTTAAGTTCCTTGTAGATTCTGGATAGTAGCCCTTTATCAGATGGATAGATTGCAAAATCTGCTATCTTTAAATGTTACCTCCACAACAATCTCAGCTCTCTTAATCTTCATAGAATTGAAGGGACTTAGAGCCTTGCTTTGAATTTGGCATTGTTTTATGAGAGTGTTGTGGCTGATTTGATCTTTTATTCAAATGGTTAAAATTTTATCCAAATCAGAAATGAGGCCATTTTACTCTTGTATTCACTGAAGTAGTACTTTTAATTTTCTTCAAGATCATTTTTATTTGTATTCACAACTTGGCTAATTGTCGTAGAGGCCTACCTTTTGGCCTTTGATTTAAAATGGGACCAGTTCTGGGTGTAGTGGCTCATGCCTGTAATCCCAACACTTCGGGAGGCTGAGACAGGCAGATCACTTGAGGTCAGGAATTTGAGACCAACCTGGCCAACATGGTGAAATTCTGTATCTACTACAAATACAAACATTAGCTAGGTGTGGTGGTAAATACCTGTTATCCCAGCTACTACGGAGGCAGAGGCAGGAGAAATGCTTGAACCCAGGAAGTGGAGGTTGCAGTAAGCAGAGTTTGTGCCATTGCACTCCAGCCTGGTTGTCACAGCGAGACTCCATCTCAAAAAACAAACAACCTAACAAACAAACACAAAACAAAATAAAATCAAATGTGATATGTACTACTCGTCCTTTCACTTGAACTCCTAGAAGCCATTGTAGGATTATGATTGGGTTAATTTCAATATTGCTGTGTCTCAGGGTATGTGGAAGCCCAAAAAGAGGGAGAACAATGGGGAAATGGTCAGTTGGTCAAACAGTCAGAACATAGACTGACATAGTTTGGACATGTGTCCCTGCCCAAATCTCATGTTGAATTCTAATTGTCAGTATTGGGGGTAGGGCCTGGTGGGAGGTGATTGGATCATGGGGGTAGATTTCTCATGAGTGCTTTAGTACCATGCCCTTGGTGCTATCCTTGTGATAGAGAGTGACTTCCTGCAAAATCTGGCTGTTTAAGCGTGTGTGGCACCTCACTTTCCCTCACTTGCTCCAAATTTTGCCACGTTTGCACAATCTCCCACTTCACCTTACACCACGAATAAAGGCTCCCTGGGGCCTTTCTGGAAGCCAAGTTATGTCAGTGCTATGCTTCTTGTACAGCCTGCAGAGCCAAGGGTCGATTAGACCTCTTTTTTTTTTTTTTTTTTTTTTTAATAAATTACCCAGTCTTAGGTATTTCTTTAGAGCAATACAAGAATGACCTAATACATACATATTTACTAATTAATTTCACTGTCGAATATGATGCCCAGAACAATTGCAAAGGTAACATGAAAGATCAATGATCACAGATCACCATAATAACGATAATAATAATGATAATCATAAGATTTGAAATACTGTGACATTACCAGACTGTGACAAAGAGATATGTAGTGAGCACATGCCATTGGAAAAAAATGATGCTGATAGACTTTCTTGATGCAGGGTTGCCACAAACTTGAATTTATTAAAAAATGCAATATCTGTAAAGTGCAGTAAAGCAGATCATAATAAAATAATTTATGTCTGTTTATTCAAAATTAAGACCATATTAATGACATTTTGATACAGTTGTATTTTATACCTTCTTCAAAAAGAGAATTCCAAGGCATCTTCTCAGACATAGTGATAAAAGTTTACATAAACAATGTCTCATTCTAATATGCTATTGATATTATCATCTATCTTAACGCCATTACTTAGTCATGTGGAGAGTTTTGTCTCAGTATTGTGGTCAGACAAGTTGAAGTTCATTTTTTTTGGAACTAAGCCTATTTTTCTCACACCAGGCTAGTACTGATCAAAATGGAATTTCCCTCAGTGGGCATGTTACTCCAAGGCTCGATGTCTTAGTCCATTTTGTGATGCTATAAAGGAGTATCTGAGACTAGGTAATTATAAAGAAAATTATTTATTTGGCTTAGAATTGGGATGACTGGAAAGTTCAATACTGAGCATCTGTATCTTGCGAGGACCTCCAGCTGCTTCCACTCATTGTAGCAGCAAAGATGAGTCAACATGTGCAGGCAGAGATCACATGGTGAAAAGAGGAAGTGAGAGAGAGGAGATGCTGGACTCTTTAACAAACAGCTCTTGTGGACACTAATAGAATGAGAACTCACCCATGAAGGAGGGCATTAATCTCTTCATGAAGAATCTGTCCCCTTACCCCAAATACCACCCACTAGGCCCTATCTTCCAACACCACCACATTGGGGATTAAATTTCAGCAGGAGATTTCGCGGGAACAAACAAACCATACCCAAAGCATAGCACCTATGCTATGAAACTCACTAGACCCACCTATTTTCCCTTATGACCTCTTTCCTCATCCCACTGCTTGTAATGATTGTATTACACGATTAAGCCTTGATTACATCAGATTCCCCTCTTTTACTGGCTCTGCTAGTTTAGCATCTGAAACCATAGAGAATTTTGTCTTTTTATAGTATTCCCAGTAGACCATACAATCTTGATAGAGGCACTTTGTCTAAATTGAGTTACAAATAATACAGAGTAGTCAAGGTGTTTTTAGAGATGAGAAGTAAATGGAAATCACTTTATTTTCTCAGTTTCTTTTTAAATGGGATTTCACAAAGGAGATCCAGGCTAAAGTGCAGTGGCTATTCACAGGTACGATCATGGCTTACTGAAGCCTCAAATCCCTGGGCTCAAGTTATCTTCCCTCCTCAGCCTCCTGAGTAGCTGGGACTACAGGGTGTACTACCATGCCTGACATTCCCAGTTATTCTTATGAAGCTTTGTAAAATTGTATTTTTTATTTTCTATTTTTCTTGTTATAAGCTATTTTTTTAAGAATAACATTTTGATCTAAACAAGGTATTATGTATATACAAATGAGTGTGTATTTGAATTTGACATATTGATGCAGTGATTGTGGACAACTTTTTTTTCTTTTTAGCACTAAATATTATATTAATTTGGATGTACCATAGTTTATCCATTCACCCACTGAAGTACCTCTTGGTGGCTTTCAAATTTTGGCAATTATGAATAAAGCGGCTATAAATACCCAAGTGCATGTTAGTGTGGGATGTAAGTTTTCAAATCATTTGTGTAAATACCAAGAAGCACAACTACTGGATTGTATGGTAAGAGTGTGTTTAGTTTGCTAAGCAATTGTTAAACTATCTACTAAAGTGGCTGTACTATACTATGCTGTGTTCCATCAACAATTTAAAGAGACTTCCCGTTGCTCCACATCCTAGTCAGGATTTGGTGTTGTCAGTGATCTGGATCTTAGCCATTCTAATCTGTGTGTAGTGGAAACTTGTTTTAATTTTTAATTCTCAAATGATGTATGATATTGAATATCTTTTCACATGCTTATTTGTGATCCATATATCATCCTTGGTAAGCTGTTTGTTTAGGTATTTTACTCATTTTTTAAATTGGGTTGTTCATTTTCTTATTATTAAGTTTTAAAAGTTCTTTATATATTTTGGCTGACAGTTGTTTATCAGATATGTCTGTCACAAATGTTTTCTGCCAGTTTGTGGTTTTTTTATCATTCTCTTGACAGAGTTTTTCACAGAGCATAAATTTTTAATTTCAACAAAGTCCTATTTATCATTTATTTTTTCCATAGATTATGCCTTTATAGTCCCTAAAACATCATCATCAAGGTGACCTAGATTTTCTGTGTTATCTTATAGAAGTTTTATAGCCTTATCTTTTACATTTTGGTCTATGATTCATTTTAAGTTAATGAATTTAAATTAATTAAATTCATTAATTTCTGTGAAAGGTGTAAGGTCTGTAACTAGATTCCTATTTTTTTGCCTGTATATGTTCAACTGTTCCAGCACCATTTATTGAAAAGACTATCCATTTCCCATTGAATTGCCTTTACTCTTTTGTAAAGTATTAGTTAACTGTATATGGGTCATTTTAAGACTCTCTTATGTTCTCCATTTCTCTACTTGTCTCTTCTTTTCCCATCAAATCTTATTCTATTTTCTAAAAGATTATTTCTCTAAAGTATCATTTTTGTTATTAATTTCCAGAATAGTAATATCCTCACCTCAGCACAATTATGAAATGTATTTAATGTGCGCATTTTGAAATTCTCCATTCAGAACTTAAAAATTTAGTAATTAAACAACAAAGAATTTTATTCTAAACATTTTTTATTTCAGACATTCAAGAATTAAGAATTGTGTTATTTGCAATAATTCTGTTTTGATAATATTATTTTGGATTGCTTTCTATATGATTAATATCATTAGTGTCTAAACGTATACACTTATACTATAAAGTTAATAGGCTTTTAAAAATTTGCTTGCTTCTTTTGAACCCTAGATTTAAGATTCTTCAATTAAGACATGAACAACATATATCATACATGATGTATTAGTTCTAAAGTTCATTAATTTAACTTCTACTTTGTAAAATAATAACATTTAACTTAATGTCTTCACTGCTATGTGTTTAGTTCCTGTATTATCCAATCTTAATGGGGCAATGACACATAGATCTCATGTTTCTGTATTTCCTTAATGTTTAATACCTTAATCAGGTCACTTGTGCTTTTTCTGATCTAAATAATTATACTTCCCAAATTTGTGCTAGAATCTGTGTGGTTAAAGCAGATAAATCACTCTGATAGCATTACACAATCAAAATTTGGGAAAGGTTATTTAAGAGAAAAATAAAAATGTGTAACCTGAAACTTACTAAATATTTTCCTAAGAAGAACACAAAAATGTGTAGCAAACATTGAAGACACATTTATTGTAAATTCCACATGGGACCTATATTTTCTTTCTTTAGTGAGAAAGCATTGCTAATCAGTCCCAACACTGTGTTTTGAACAAAGACTACTCCTGTCTGGGACCCTAATATGCCTAGGCTATGACCAATAATATATTTAAAACTAAAATCCTACTAGGAAGTCTTCGGTCCCACTGGGAGCATTGTTAACATTGTTCAAATATACTTCTATTAAGAAAAGCATGGAAATGGAACAATTATAATCAGCAATTATATATGTATATAAGTATGTATTGCCTTCTTCCACAGAAAATTTTAGAGAGTTGAATTCATAATTCATTAACCTAATATTTATCGAGCACTGACTTTGCATGCAAAACACTGTTCTAGGTGGTTGAAAATGTCAATTTAAAAATAGACAAAAATATGTTTATTTCTTGACCTTAAATTATAGCAGAAGAATAAAGATTCTCTGTATATCGTAAATTATATGGTAGGATGTTAGAAAGTGACTAGTAATGTGGAAATGAGAAAAAAATGGAGGTGAAAAAGAATAAGGGCTTAGGAGGAAGACAAGCGACAATTTAAGTATAAATGAGATGATCAGGAGTTTGCCTCATTGAAAAGGTAATACATGGATGTGGTGGCATGCACCTGTAGTTCCAGCTATGTGGGAGGCTGAGGTGGGAAGTTAGCTTGAGCCCAGGAAGGTTGAGGCTCCAGGACTCCAGTGAGCTGTAATCATGCCGCTGCACTCCAGCCTGAGTGACAGAATGAGGTCCTCTCCTCTGTGTGTGTATATATATAATACATACAACAATTTTTAAAAAGAGAAAAGGTAATCTAAGAGCAAACACATGAAAACGGCGAGAGAGGCAGCCATAGTGACAGTTGGGGGATGCCTTGGGAAGAAGAAACAGGAAATGTAATATCCTAAATTAAGAAGTATGCCATGCACATTTTAGGATCAGCATGTAAGCCAGCATGGCTGGAGCTGTATAAGCAGGGAGAAGAACAGTAAGAGATAAAGTCAGAGAGGTAATGAGAATGGGAGGCTAATCCATTGTGTCAGGCCTTTTAGACCACAATAAAGGCTTTGGAATTTGCTCATTGAAATGGCATGCCATTTGGATAGTTTTGAGTGAAAGATTTAAATTATGACTTTTGTTGTTGTTGTTGTTTGTTTTGTTTGTTTTTTGTTTTTTTGTTGAGACGGTCTCACTCTGTTGCCCAGGCTAACTGCAAGCTCCGCCTCCCGGGTTCATGCCATTCTCCTGCCTCAGCCTCTGGTATAGCTGGGACTACAGGGGTCCGCCACCACGCCCGGCTATTTTTTTTTTCTTTTTTTGTATTTATAGTAGAGACGGGGTTTCATCGTGTTAGCTAGGATGGTCTCGATCTCCTGACATAGTGATCCACCTGCCTCGGCCTCCCAAAGTGCTGGGATTACAGGTGTGAGCCACTGCGCCTGGCCTAAATTATGTTTTTTAAAGGTTCGATCTCATTTTGTGTTGTAAATGGAGGTAACGAGGTAAGGTAGAAGAAGAAAAACTAGTTTAGAGTTGGTTTCATTAATGAAGGCAAAAGATGATGGTGCAGAATCAATCATAGATACATGAAGAAGTTGTTAAACTCTGGATATGCCTCTAAGGTATATTTAACATAGTTTCTGGTGGACTGGAACTGGGGTATGAGAGAGAGAAGCATCTAGTACAATCTGATTTTTGTTCTACAGAAAGACACTAATTTTATCTTCCAATCCTATTCACTATGTACACATCCTTGAAAAGATAGTCCAAAAGAAAGGGTCATCAGTGCCTTTCTCGGAGGATGTACAGAAATGGAAGACTCATGGAGAATTGTCTCCCATGAATTAATTTTTCTCTTATATGATTTTTATCTATTTGGCAATACAATACAGCCAAACAATTGCTTAAGTCGGAAACATAGGAGTAATTTTAAGCCCTTCATTATGTTGGGAATACTGCAATAACAATAACAAAAAAATGCTTCCTTTTTGCTGTATCTAGCCATGAAATATTCTGGGAACTATGTCAGGAACTTAAGTAAAGCTACCCTTAGAATGAAGCCAGGTCTAGGGAAAACAGGATTGGTACATTAAAGTAACTGGGCTGGATGACAGTGTTTAGCAGCTTTTTTGATCCTTTTCTTAAGCCAAACCAATTTCTAAAGTTTTTAGTTACTTAAACTAATATGTTTCTACATCTTTTTTGGGTATGAGTTGGATTTGCAGGCACTTACAGGTGAAACTCTGCCCATTCTTCAAACTTCAACTTGAAATTTTTTCTGAAATATTTGCCTAAGCATTGTGATTTTATTTTATCCTATATTTATTGTTTTTATCATACAACAACTTGGACCTACTTGCCTTCCAATTTTCTAAAAATTTGAAATTTGTTATTTTAGATTGCTTTTCTACTTTCCATAAATTCCATAAGTTCATCATAATCTATTCAACTGTTTTTGCTTTGCTTGTTTTGTAGGAAATGTATCTCTTCTCTGGGATGATATACCTGAGGTTAATACTGATAATAACATTCAGTAATCATAACTATGCTTTTTCCAATAATACTAATGTTTAAAAATTAAATCTGTAATATGTCTGGTTACAGAGGAACCTTATTTGGTGTATATAGTCTGGGAAAGTGTACATCACATTTCAATCTACTAAAGAGATTTCTGAGAAAAAGGAAGTAGTGAAGGAAGAGCTTCTGCATTTTCTTTAAGAATGGAAAAGCCAAATTGTAATTTTAAGTCTTGAAAACTGTTAAAAATGATAGTTTAATTTATGGCTCTACATGTAAGCTATTGCTCTTCTTAACACATATTAACTCATTTAATCCTTAGCATACAATATGAGTTAGGCATGGTTGTTATCATCGAGATACTAAGACGCAAAGAGAAATTCTGGGAGGAGCCAAGATGGCCGAATAGGAACAGCTCCGGTCTACAGCTCCCAGCGTGAGTGACGCAGAAGATAGGTGCTTTCTGCATTTCCATCTGAGGTACTGGATTCATCTCACTAGGGAGTGCCAGAGAGTGGGTGCAGGACAGTGGGTGCCACGCACCTTGCGCCAGCTGAAACAGGGCGAGGCATTGCCTCACTCAGGAAACACAAGGTGTCAGGGAGTTCCCTTTCCTGGTCAAGGAAAGGGGTGACAGACGGCACCTGGAAAATAGGGTCACTCCCACCCGAATACTGCGCTTTTCCGACAGGCTTAGCAAACGGCGCACTAGGAGATTATATCCCGCACCTGGCTCAGAGGGTCCTATGCCCATGGAGTCTCGCTGATTGCTAGCACAGCAGTCTGAGATCAAACTACAAGGTGGCAGTGAGGCTGGGGGAGGGGCGCCCGCCATTGCCCAGGCTTGCTTAGGTAAACAAAGCAGCCAGGAAGCTCCAACTGGGTGGAGCCCACCACAGCTCAAGGAGGCCTGCCTGCCTCTGTAGGCTCCACCTCTGGGGGCAGGGCACAGACAAACAAAAAGACAGCAGTAACCTCTGCAGACTTAAATGTCCCTGTCTGACAGCTTTGAAGAGAGCAGTGGTTCTCCCAGCACGCAGCTGGAGATCTGAGAATGGGCAGACTGCCTCCTCAAGTGGGTCCCTGACCCCTGACCCCCGAGCAGCCTAACTGGGAGGCACCCCCCAGCAGGGGCAGACTAACAACTCACACAGCCGGGTACTCCTCTGAGACAAAACTTCCAGAGGAACGATCAGACAGCAGCATTCACGGATGACGAAAATCCGTGGTTCTGCAGACACTGCTGCAGATACCCAGGCAAACAGAGTCTGGAGTGGACCTCTAGCAAACTCCAACAGACCTGCAGCTGAGGGTCCTGTCTGTTAGAAGGAAAACTAACAAACAGAAAGGACATCCACAACAAAAACCCATCTGTACATCATCATCATCAAAGACCAAAAGTAGATAAAACCACAAAGATGGGGAAAAAACTGAGTAGAAAAACTGGAAACTCTAAAAAGCAGAGCGCCACTCCTCCTCCAAAGGAACGCAGTTCCTCACCAGCAAAGGAACAAAGCTGGACGGAGAATGACTTTGATGAGTTGAGAGAAGGCTTCAGACGATCAAACTACTTCGAGCTACAGGAGGAAACTCAAACCAAAGGCAAAGAAGTTGAAAACTTTGAAAAAAATTTAGACGAATGTATAACTAGACTAACCAATACAGAGAAGTGCTTAAAGGAGCTGATGGAGCTGAAAGCCAAGGCTCGAGAACTACGTGAAGAATGCAAAAGCCTCAGGAGCCAATGCGATCAACTGGAAGAAAGGGTATCAGTGACGGAAGATGAAATGAATGAAATGAAGCAAGAAGGGAAGTGTAGAGAAAAAAGAATAAAAAGAAACGAACAAAGCCTCCAAGAAATATGGGACTATGTGAAAAGACCAAATCTACGTCTCATTGGTGTACCTGAAAGTGACGGGGAGAATGGAACCAAGTTGGAAAACACTCTGCAGGATATTATCCAGGAGAACTTCCCCAATCTAGCAAGGCAGGCTAACATTCAGATTCAGGAAATACAGAGAACGCCACAAAGATACTCCTCGAGAAGAACAACTCCAAGACACATAATTGTCAGATTCACCAAAGTTGAAATGAAGGAAAAAATGTTAAGGGCAGCCAGAGAGAAAGGTCGGGTTACCCTCAAAGGGAAGCCCATCAGACTAACAGTGGATCTCTCAGCAGAAACTCTACAAGCCAGAAGAGAGTGGGGGCCAATATTCAACATTCTTAAAGAAAAGAATTTTCAACCCAGAATTTCATATCCAGCCAAACTAAGCTTCATAAGTGAAGGAGAAATAAAATACTTTACAGACAAACAAATACTGAGAGATTTTGTCACCACCAGGCCTGCCATAAAAGAGCTCCTGAAGGAAGCACTAAACATGGAAAGGAACAACCGGTACCAGCTGCTGCAAAATCATGCCAAATTGTAAAGACCATGGAGACTAGGAAGAAACTGCACCAACTAATGAGCAAAATAACCAGCTAACATCATAATGACAGGATCAAATTCACACATAACAATATTAACTTTAAATGTAAATGGGCTAAATGCTCCAATTAAAAGACACAGACTGGCAAATTGGATAAAGAGTCAAGACCCATCAGTGTGCTGTATTCAGGAATCCCATCTCACATGCAGAGACACACATAGGCTCAAAATAAAAGGATGGAGGAAGATCTACCAAGCAACTGGAAAACAAAAAAAGGCAGGGGTTGCAATCCTAGTCTCTGATAAAACAGACTTTAAACCAACAAAGATCAAAAGAGACAAAGAAGGCCATTACATAATGGTAAAGGCATCAATTCAACAAGAAGAGCTAACTATCCTAAATATATATGTACCCAATACAGGAGTACCCAGATTCATAAAACAAGTCCTGAGTGACCTACAAAGAGACTTAGACTCCCACACAATAATAATGGGAGACTTTAACACCCCACTGTCAACATTAGACAGATCAACGAGACAGAAAGTTAACAAGGATACCCAGGAATTGAACTCAGCTCTGCACCAAGCGGACCTAATAGACATCTACAGAACTCTCCACCCCAAATCAATAGAATATACATTCTTTTCAGCACCACACCACACCTATTCCAAAATTGACCACATACTTGGAAGTAAAGCTCTCCTCAGCAAATATAAAAGAACAGAAATTATAACAAACTGTCTCTCAGACCACAGTGCAATCAAACTAGAACTCAGGATTAAGAAACTCACTAAAACCACTCAACTACATGGAAACTGAACAACCTGCTCCTGAATGACTACTGGGTACATAATGAAATGAAGGCAGAAATAAAGATGTTCTTTGAAACCAGCGAGAACAAAGACACAACATACCAGAATCTCTGGGACACATTCAAAGCAGTGTGTAGAGGGAAATTTATAGCACTAAATGCCCACAAGAGAAAGCAGGAAATATCTAAAATTGACACCCTAACATCACAATTAAAAGAACTAGAAAAGCAAGAGCAAACACATTCAAAAGCTAGCAGAAGGCAAGAAATAACTAAAATCAGAGCAGAACTGAAGGCAATAGAGACACAAAAAACCCTTCAAAAAATTAATGAATCCAGGAGTTGGTTTTTTGAAAGGATCAACAAAATTGATAGACTGCTAGCAAGACTAATAAAGAAAAAGAGAGAACAATCAAACAGACGCAATAAAAAATGATAAAGGGGATATCACCACCGATCCCACAGAAATACAAACTACCATCAGTGAATACTACAAATACCTCTATGCAAATAAACTAGAAAATCTAGAAGAAATGGATAAATTCCTGGACACATACACTCTCCCAAGACTAAACCAGGAAGAAGTTGAATCTCTGAATAGACCAATAACAGGAGCTGAAATTGTGGCAATAATCAATAGCTTAACAACCAAAAAGAATCCAGGACCAGATGGATTCACAGCCGAATTCTACCAGAGGTACAAGGAGGAACTGGTACCATTCCTTCTGAAACTATTCCAATCAATAGAAAAAGAGGGAATCCTCCCTAACTCATTTTATGAGGCCAGCATCATCCTGATACCAAAGATGGGCAGAGACACAACCAAAAAAGAGAATTTTAGACTAATATCCTTGATGAACATTGATGCAAAAATCCTCAATAAAATACTGGCAAACTGAATCCAGCAGCACATAAAAAAGCTTATCCACCACGATCAAGTGGGCTTCATCCCTGGGATGCAAGGCTGGTTCAATATACGCAAATCAATAAATGTAATCCAGCATATAAACAGAGCCAAAGACAAAAACCACATGATTATCTCAATAGATGCAGAAAAGGCCTTTGACAAAATTCAACAACTCTTCATGCTAAAAACTCTCAATAAATTAGGTATTGATGGGATGTATCTCAAAATAATAAGAGCTATCTATGACAAACCCACAGCCAATATCATACTGAATGGGCAAAAACTGGAGGCATTCCCTTTGAAAACTGGCACAAGACAGGGATGCCCTCTCTCACCACTCCTATTCAACATAGTGTTGGAAGTTCTGGCCAGGGCAATTAGGCAGCAGAAGGAAATAAAGGGTATCAATTAGGAAAAGAGGAAGTCAAATTGTCCCTGTTTGCAGATGACATGATTGTATATCTAGAAAACCCCATTGTCTCAGCCCAAAATCTCCTTAAGCTGATAAGCAACTTCAGCAAAGTCTCAGGATACAAAATCAATGTACAAAAATCACAAGCATTCTTATACACCAACAACAGACAAACAGAGAGCCAAATCATGAGTGAACTCCCATTCACAATTGCTTCAAAGAGAATAAAATACTTAGGAATCCACCTTACAAGAGACGTGAAGGACCTCTTCAAGGAGAACTACAAACCACTGCTCAATGAAATAAAAGAGGATACAAACAAATGGAAGAACATTCCATGCTCATGGGTAGGTAGAATCAATATCGTGAAAATGGCCATACTGCCCAAGGTAATTTATAGATTCAATGCCATCCCCATCAAGCTACCAATGACTTTCTTCACAGAATTGGAAAAAACTACTTTAAAGTTCATATGGAACCAAAAAAAGAGCCCGCATCACCAAGTCAATCCTAAGCCAAAAGAACAAAGCTGGAGGCATCACACTACCTGACTTCAAACTATACTACAAGGCTACAGTAACCAAAACACCATCGTACTGGTACCAAAACAGAGATATAGATCAATGGAACAGAACAGAGCCCTCAGAAATAACGCCGCATATTTACAACTATCTGATCTTTGACAAACCTGAGAAAAACAAGAAATGGGGAAAGGATTCCCTATTTAATAAATGGTGCTAGGAAAACTGGCTAGCCCATGTAGAAAACTGAAACTGGATCCCTTCCTTACACCTTATACAAAAATTAATTCAAGATGGATTAAAGACTTAAACATTAGACCTAAAACCATAAAAACCCTAGAAGAAAACCTAGGCATTAGCATTCAGGACATAGGCATGGGCAAGGACTTCATGTCTAAAACACCAAAATCAATGGCAACCAAAGCCAAAATTGACAAATGGGATCTAATTAAACTACAGAGCTTCTGCACAGCAAAAGAAACTACCATCAGAGTGAACAGGCAACCTACAAAATGGGAGAAAATTTTCGCAACCTACTCATCTGACAAAGGGCTAATATCCAGAATCTACAATGAACTCAAACAAATTTACAAGAAAAAAACAACCCCATCAAAAAGTGAGCAAAGGATATGAACAGACACTTCTCAAAAGAAGACATTTATGCAGCCGAAAGACACATGAAAAAATGCTCATCATCACTGGCCATCAGAGAAATGCAAATCAAAACCACAATGAGATACCATCTCACACCAGTTAGAATGGCAATCATTAAAAAGTCAGGAAGCAACAGGTGCTGGAGAGGATGTGGAGAAATAGGAACACTTTTACACTGTTGGTGGGACTGTAAACTAGTTCAACCATTGTGGAAGTCAGTGTGGCGATTCCTCAGGGATCTAGAACTAGAAATACCATTTGACCCAGCCATCCCATTACTGGGTATATACCCAAAGGACTATAAATCATGCTGCTATAAAGACACATGCACACGTATGTTTATTGCGGCACTATTCACAATAGCAAAGACTTGGAAGCAACCCAAATGTCCACCAATTATAGACTGGATTAAGAAAATGTGGCACATATACACCATGGAATACTATGCAGCCATAAAAAATGATGAGTTCATGTCCTTTGTAGGGACATGGATGAAATTGGAAATCATCATTCTCAGTAAACTATCGCAAGGACAAAAAACCAAACACCGCATGTTCTCATTCATAGATGGGAATTGAACAATGAGAATGCATGGACACAGGAAGGGGAACATCATACTCTGGGGACTGTTGTGGGGTGGGGGGAGAGGGGAGGGATAGCATTAGGAGATATACGTAATGCTAAATGATGAGTTAATGGGTGTAGCACACCAGCATGGCACATGTATACATATGTAACTAACCTGCACATTGTGCACATGTACCCTAAAACTTAAAGTATAATTAAAAAAAAAAGAAATAGAAAAAAAAAAGAGAGAAATTCTGCCAACATCAGCAACATTCATCCCAGAATCCCTTCTTTCAACTACTCCACATACTGTTGTCTGTCATATTACATTCCACTTCTAATTCTATAATGTAGTTTGAGAATACTACATCACTTAGTTTGAATTGTTTATCAATTTAATTGCATGTGATATAACAATTTGATTTACTCCACATTATTTAAAACTTTGCTGGCAGAGATGCATTTATAAGGGATGATACACAAGTTTTCATGTTAAAAATGGAACTTTGAAAAAAATTGAAAAAATTGAGCTGAACTTTTGATGCACTCAAAGGTATTTTGGAGGAAAGTTATTTTAATATAAAAACAGGGAAAAGGATGAAGTTGGAACTCATAGAACAACTCTGATTGTGACTATTCAGTATATGGCTATTTTATCAGTAAAGAGACACTGAAAATCCTCAGAGAAAACAAGCAAATGTTTTCATGCTTGTCAAAAGAACAGGTACGAAGAAGCCAAAGAAATTGAATCACTTAATGACAGGCAAATTTTGGCAGTCTATGTTTATCATGGGTATGAATTTATGACTGTACAAAGCAATAGTATTATCTTGTCTGTACGGTCAATGTTAACCATATCACTACAAGGAACATATATTAGTGACTGAAAATATCTGAAGAATAAACTCTAAAATGATCACAGATACTGTATTGCCAGCTCTTGGCATGGCCTAGAGCTAATAGTAAAAATATATACCTTATTTGCAGCTTTCTAGCACCTCCCACCTAAGGGAAATAATAGCAAGTTTTAGATTACAACTCTGTTTATCTCTTAAACAACCATGTCTCAATTTTGATGTTGTGATTATATCACAATATTGTATCTACCATAACTGCATGGGTTCTGGCATTACTTGAAGAAATAGAAATAGCTATATATATAATTATTTTGTTTGAAAGACAAAAGCCCTCAAGAGAATTTTATTCAGAAACTTAAAGGTGTAGAAAAATATAATTATCTCATGACCTAAATTGTGTTTAAAAAGACAATACAAAATAGTTATATCAACACAGGCAAAAAGACCAGTGACACAACACAAAAGCTGACAGAACAGGTGCAGTGCTGATACTAAATCAGTACTGAGCCGTGGGACTAATCACAGCCTGTTTTATCTACTCTATTTTGGTTCAGACTCTATCTCAGAGTCTGAAGCTGCTGCAGGGCTGTATTCAGCTACTAGATAGGGCTTGGGACCAGGTGTGAGTGAGTGTGTGTGTGTGTGTGTGTGTGTGTGAGAGAGAGAGATTTGGAAATAGTAAATGGTGCTGTATTACTAGATAATTCTAAATTATATGTCAATATTTTTCTTGTAATTATATAGAATTTTTTATATTTATAAACAAACAAAACAACAAAAAAAAATTTTCCCTTAATGTACATCAACTGTTTACAGATGCCACAGATTTTGAGAGGGAGATGCAGTCTGTGGCAAAATAACTTAATATATGGACATGAGTACCATTTATTTAATTCCTGAATATAAATTATATTTCTGGTTAGAGAGGCAATAATTTTAGGGAGCTATAGACTGCTTTGAACTCCAGGACATAAAGTCCATTGCAGCAGACTTAAGTCACTCCTTACTGGTTTTTTACTGGACCTTACCATTATTCCTTCTGTCTCTCTGAAGATGTAAAGATAAAAGGATAAGGGCAGGCATGTTTCCTTCTAAGCGGAGAGGCTCTGGTCTTTTACTACAATAGTCAGTGCCCCAGAAAAAAATTCAAGAGGCAAAGTCTCCTTAGAAACAATAAAAAAGATTCTAAGTATCATATTTTTTTGTACCAAATGCATATAGTTTTCACTAAATCTTTTGAAGTGTATATTTAAACTGACTGTATTGCTCCCAGAAGACTAAACACAAATTTGAACTCACAAGCTTTGGATATTGTATTGCACTTTTTATCACAGAAGAATTTACTTTGGTATACAAATTATAAAAGGCATGCATATATGGGTCTAAGCCAAAAATATTAATCAATAAAACAAAACGGTGCAATTTTCATAATTACAACTGCACTAACCAGTGTAGCAGGATTTAAGGTACAGTCTTGAGTGTTACCTTATGATACATGTGCATCCTTCAGTTGTCTTTTAGGTAGCGTTAAGTTCCAGTTACTCCCAGGTAATTATTTTTCTTTAAGGATTTTTTAGAGATAATATAATTGGACATTTTGTTTATCAGACAACACTTAGGACAAAATTTAAGACAATTATTTTCTTGTTGTAAAATTGTTACTATCTGTGTTTTTGTTGTGTAACAACAATGAGAAAGGGTAAATTGAAGCGGTGTCAGAGTGGTCTCAGAGAGGCACTTTTGGAGACTTTTGAGAAGGTTTTGGGTGAGAGTAGATCAGGGCCTGGACCAACATATTGACAGTGAGTTCCATGTGGTGATGGCTTTGGAACCCTCCCTGATGCGGGAATATGTACCATTGGAAGTGTGGAACACTAACCTAGCCCCATGCCTCATTATGGAAGTCCTTCTCCCATGAACTGTTCGTAGGAATACACATTTGTTCATTCTGTACAGCTTAACAATTATATCACCACATGAATTGTACATAATCCTCTACCCAACAATTCACAAGCAGGAATTTACCCAAGGAAATAAAGAAGTATAAGAAGTAAAGAAGACACAAAAATACATTGTGATAGGTCCCACCCAGGCCTGGATTCTAGTTCTCTTCCGTTTTACAGAACAGGAAAGCTTTGGTTGACAGTCTGATCATCATTCCCTTACTTGCTATGAACTTGTGCATGTGTGACGTATGGTCATATTTTCATAAATTGTGAAAAAAGAAGATAGGGCCAGTGGCACAGTTAGAAATTATATTCAGAACCCTGTTTGATCCACGTGACATGAATTGCTAAAAGCATTACAAAAGTTATTATAAAAGGTAATTTTCAGAGTTTCAGGATTACATGGTTGGAAGTTGAGATGTCAGAAAGCCACATTCAGGGTTTTCTACATCCTTTCAGAAATTCAATCTAGACGAGTTGAAACTAATCACCACTGGCCTAAGCTTCTTTCTCATGAGGATCTTGTAAAACACACAAAGCGGACTTCATTGATTACCCCTGGCCTTTTGCCTTTTGTTACATTGAATCTCTCCAGCTATTACAAATGACTGTCACTTATAAAAGACTTATTTGTTAGCATCTTATTTTTTCCGAGGGGCATAAAAACAGTTCTTTGTGATACTATGTAAAGTATACATTAAAAAAGTAAACACCTAAATAGCATTAATTAGCATTAACAATATGACAACTATATGTCATGACATACACTAAAACAACAATTAACGACAATAATAGCAGCTAACATTTATTTAGCACTCACAGTATTATGACCTTGCAAGGTACTCTTTTATAAGCTTTATAGAAAATGACATATTTAATCTTCACAAAAAGCCTTTGAAGTTAGTCCTGTAACTATCCCTCTTTTACACATAAGAAACCTGAAAAACAGAGAGGAAAACTGGCTTACCCAACATCACACAGGGAAACAAGATTTGATCCCATATAATCTGGCTTTAAAACCAGAAATTCACTCCACTACATTCAATATTAAAATAGTTCACATGTGTTGTCTTTTTTTCTCCTTACTTTAATTATTTTTTAAATGATTATATAGGAAGATATTCAAACTATATTGTTGAAAAAAAATCAGAGTTTGGAAAATAATAAACATGATCCTATGCATATAATCATATAATCTCATACACATACACAGACACACATACACATGTTTTTGAGAAACAACATAACAAGGATCCTAGGGGAAAATAAGAGCAGTGGCCTCAGGCTAATGTGAAAAATCATAATTCTTACTAAATTAGATTCACTTATCTACTTCTCTGATCAATGTGTTTTCTCATCTGCTGGTCTTTTTGGTGACGTTTCCATTCTCTTCCTTAATCTTCCACAACTTTAAGCATTTGATTCATGCGCAATGTAGAAGCTCAAAAGGCATATAGGGTATAAAACCTGATATATACATATATATATATATACACACACACACACACACACACACACATATATGTATACACACACATATATATATACACATATATATATACACACACACATATATACGCATATATATACACATTAACAATTATATATATACACACACTTTCTGTATATACACAGAGAGAAAGTTAAATGCTATTTATTAAAATCTTAACAGTGTTCATTTCTGATGAAAGATTTAAGAGATTTTTGACTTTTTTGACTTGTTTATATCATTCTGTTATATAAAATTTTAATGAGAAAATATCATTTTTATAAAAATATTCTGAAAAGTGAAATATGTAATTATATGGACAATATTTTAACTATATTATTTAAAAAAGCAGATTTCCAAATTTGTATGCATTTACGATGACATTTTTGTACTCTTGAGTCTACATGTATACTCAACATATACTCTTGTAAAGTGATGGAAGCACATCAAAATATTAATAATAACTATCTACATGTGTTCAATGCTTTTTTCAAAAATGTACTTTATTTTTACTATAAATTTTCATATATTATTTTTCATTGAGAAAAAACACTGGTACAAAAAAACTTATTGAAGAAGAAAAGAGGGAAAGAGAAAAGCAGGGAGCGAGAGGGCATGGGAAATGGAGTTAGAAACATCTGGAAGATAAAAACCTAGTTCTGGTGCCATCATTTACTGGATGCCACTTTGCCTATATAAATCTTCTGTATTTGTTAAAAACTCATAGCAGAGCATAGTAATAATACTTTATTGTTGTGAGGTAAGCCTCATAGGATTACTATGTAGATTAAAGAGTTGATGAAAATAAATTCAGATCTTTGGAATGGTGCTTCTCTTTGGCCTTTACCTCAAGAAACAACATAATAAAGATCCTAGGAGAAAAAAAAAAAAAGCAGTGGCCTCAGGCTAATGTGAAAAATCATAATTCTTACTAAATTAGGTCGACTTATTTATCAGATTGATGTGTTTTCTCATCTACTGGTCTTTTTGGTGATGTTTCTATTCTCTGCTTAATCTTCTGCAACTTCAAGCATTTGATTCATGAACCATGTACAAGCTCAAAAGGCTTTATTTTTCATTCAACTTAATCAGGATAGCATAACAGTTTCTGTATTCCTTGCCTATTCCTCAAATCATGGAGCATGGAATTGAAGCACACACCCAGATACTGGATGAATCCAGGTCAAGTGTTTTCCCTGGTTGTTGCCAACATAGGAACTTCTATCTTCCCCTTCTCAGGCTGAATTTTCTCCCCTAAACTCTAAATCATTGACTTTGGCCCTAAAATTTGGCCTAGTCATTATCAGTTAATTTTCAAAGTTGAAGATTACTTCCCACCCTTAACTCTAAAGTACTGAGCATTTCTAAGGCTTTGTGCTCCAGGGCTCTGCCTTTCTGCTTGAGTCACCCTAAGAAAGACTCCACAGGTGGTCTAAGAGCCTGTTAGCATGAAGACTCTGAGGATGTCTGTATCACAGGCATTTTCTAGTTCTGCGGTTCCATGTTCTTAAAATGTTTGGGCCAGGTTGCCATGTACAATCATGTGTCTTTCAGAGAGGCCTGTATCCCTCTATCTGTTATTCTGTACATAAAGAATGCTGCTGATCTACAGAATATGTAGCATAGAAAAGCTGACTCCTCTTGTGTGTTTTTGATTTAACCAATCAACCAACCAACCATACATCAAAAGCATGTTTAATTACCAGGTGGTGACTCTTTGGTATCCAGTTATTCTATTCCTGCTACCCCCCATGCCAGCACGCTGGTCATGCAGCTGCCTAGCCCTGCTTTGTACCCACATCAAAGCACTTACTGTGCTCTATTTTTAAATGGTCATTCTGTCATTTTTCTCTGGGATTATACTCTTTGCTCTCTGAGGGCAAGGGCAATATCTGAGCTTGCTCTCACTTCTTCCTGGCTCCAGGATACAGAAGTCTCATTAGGTCCTTTGTTCAAGTCATCCTAGGTGAGAGCAAAGGCACTTCAGCATCAAATCTATCTGGGGAAATTATTTAGTGATACTTTTGTGCCACGTGTATTTTGTATCCTGCTTTGGATAAATAGAGAGTAGTGACCTGCCTTTCTGAATCAAATAACTGAATTTGGTGAATCAGTTTTATGCTCAATGTCATGTTTGTGTTCAGTACTAAAAATTGTTTCTCAAGGAAATCTTGAGGTACAATAGAAGTAGCATTGGATAAGAGTCATGTTAGCCAGAAGACACCAGTATTTAGATTCCCTTCATTTCTAAAATGGGAACTACTATATTCTCTCCCTTTTCTACACAAGGAAGATTATTTTGAGGATTAAATGAGATGATGTGTTTGAAAATGTCATCCCCAATGTAAAGGTTTTAGTCAATGTAAGTTAATACTAAATATTATCATGCCTAAAATGAAAATAACCACTGGGAAGGTATCTTAGTATTATTAACAGAGTTGGCTTGAAGGCCAAATGTCATCATCCTCACTATCATCACAAAGATAACAATATCAACTATAAGTATATGATGGGCATTTAGTATTTGCTAAAAACTCTTTCTAATATTTG
The DNA here is from genome assembly GCF_000001405.40 of Homo sapiens. Taxonomy (NCBI): domain Eukaryota; kingdom Metazoa; phylum Chordata; class Mammalia; order Primates; family Hominidae; genus Homo; species Homo sapiens. The sequence continues at coordinate 94,770,531 of NC_000006.12, forward strand.
TATATTTCTAATGTTCTTGACTTGCAAGGTAGGTATTATTCTCTCAGTTTATCAGGTGAGTAAACTGATGCTCAAAAAGAGAATGGCTTGATCAACATCACATGGCTTTTACATGACACAGTGAAAGAGAATTCTAAATTGTACGTTCTCATCTTGGAATTCCAAGGTGACAGCAACAATAATAACACAGATTAGTTGTTTCTCTTACAAATGTAATGGATTGCTCAAAACATATGTGAATAAAAGACAAGCAATTGGAATGTACTCTAGGACTGCTATTTGGCATTCTGCATCCAGGAGCTTTCTAACCCATTAACTGAAGAATTACTCATTCCTTTGCCAAGGTGTCAGTTTGTGTACTTGAGATACATGAATTTCTTGGCACAAGACTCTCCCAGTTGGACTTGAAGGGGTAAAAAACACAAGTTACTAAAAAAAGAAATCTTTAACTTCTCCATTCTCTTACAGTTTATTTTTAATAGTAGAGTTAGGTCAAAGTGAGATTTTGTCATTTGACTTCTCAAGCCATCAACACAATGGAGCTTTTTACGTTTCAAATATCAACATTTAGTTCTTCTAAGGGCGATATTTGTGACTGTGACTGGTATAGATTTATGTAAATTTCTCCCATCATTTCTGTCATAACTATTCTAGAAAATTACCTTCACAGTTTCCATGATAATTCCCATAGTTCTCTCCCACCACTATTTCAGGAAAATGTAATCTTCTATAATTTCAATCTGACTTTATGATTCACAGGAAACATTAATTTTTCTAGCTTCAGGGCTCACACATGTAAAATTTAGATAATATTGCTGTCCTGAAGCTTTCTTTAAGTGAGATAATATATGCAGAAAACTAGCAGATTGCTTCATACATATACACCTGCTCATTAAATTCCAATTCCCTTCCCATTTCATTCGCATAGGATGAGTTGACCTTTGGAGATGAGGGTAACAAAAGACTGTGTCAGATTGTACATGTGCACACATTTTTTAAAGTACAGTAATTTTATATGTATAACACCTCGATCTTATACAATCTTTTTTTCTTAAAGAAAAAAAGTAGAAATAAATAGTTTAAGTTTATCATGAAGTAAAGATATACATCTTAAAATGTTCTTAAGAATTAAGACTTATTAAAATAAGATCTAGTCTAAGGCCTCTCTGCAGGCTTGGGAATCAAGCTTTACTTTATTTCTTTTAACCAGAGCCACTTTATTTCCGTATTAAGTAGTTCTGCTCCATTTGACCCAGGGACTCTTAACCCTTATTTCAATTTCTTTTCAGCTTTAAGTGGAGAATAATAATAGCACCTCTCTTATCCTTCAGAGGGTTGTTGTGAGGAGCAAAACGAGAATGAATAAAAGTGAAGGAACATTAACAAGATGAAAATGTTGAAATAAATATGTTAAAATTATATTAGGCAGTACCTTGAGTGGATATTTCTGTTAATTACAGAAGAGCTCAGGATCTAAAGAACTTATGCAGAAACTGCTACATGCTCCACAAAAATTTATGTTTGCCTCTTTTTCTGGGCGTATTGTTTAAAAAACTGTTCTAAGTTTCTCTTTATGTGTGATTAACTAAATCATATCTAACACAGTAAGAGCAGAATGATGTATTTGACTTCTAAATCTGGTACATAAAACCTCCTGTGTAGGCTTTTTTATGCCTTTTTCTCTGTTTCCAGTTAGAGTGCTGCAATGGAAACAAGTTGCAAGGGAACCTGGACTCTTGAAGATGGCAAAGTCTGTGTCTACATGGGTTCATGAATGACTATAAGCAGGAGAGATTCATCACTGATATATAAACACAGCTGATATTATATGAAGAAGTAAAATTTTATTATATGGAAACCATTACACATGTTTGGGCCAATTTGTTAGAGCAGTCAGAATAAACCTAACCAATATAAAAATCAAATCTTATGGTGTTGAGAACTCTAATCGACTTTCGTATGTTTTGATAATCAGTTAAGTCCTCCTAATGAAAATGTAAAAATTAACACATTTGCTGAAATTGAAAAGAAAGAGGACATTTGCTGTCATTAACAAAGCCACACAAGCATTTCTCAGTACTCATTTATAGAAACTATGTACCTGATATAATGCTTATAAAATTTTATAACATGGTCACGAGGATTACTTTTTATATTTTATATAAAATAATCACTCTATCAACAAGCTTATAGTTAGAATTCATTAAATAGTAGCTTAATATGAATAAGAATTACTGGGTTATTCATTTTTTTCCAGGGAGGTACTGATAATAATTTATTACTACTAATAATTACTATGTGTTTTTTATATTCTTAGAACTTTACATGTTCTTATTTAATTCACATAAAATGCCTTGGAGAAAATGCTATTATTATTCCCATTATACACCTGAGGAAAGTGAGGGGCTAACAGGTTAAGCAACTTTCTAAGGTTGCACACAATATTGTTCGGGATAAGTAAGATTAAGCTACAATAAACACACAAATTTCAAGGGTCTTCACAAAACAAAAGTTCATTCCTCACCAAGACTGCATTTTAGACTACTACAGGTTAGACTACTAAGACTATGTGTTAGTGAGTTTATAGGAGTTGATGGTCAATATTGTTGCTCAGGGACCCAAGCTGAACAACTTTTCGTTTTGACACCAGCTTTCCCTGTCAATTGGTTAAAAGCAAAAAGACATGACAAATCATGCGCTAGATCTTAAAGCTTCTTCCCAGAAATGATACATGTTCTGTTCACATTTCCTCAGTCAAAGTATGTGACAGGGTCATGCCAACTTTCAGAGGCAAGAGCAATACAATCACATATCTGAAGAAAGAGAAGTAAATTTGTGTGAATATTATTATCTTAAAGTACGTGTATGTCTAATAAGTGGAGGAGGAAGGATGCAAACTGAGGCAGTTTGGTTCCAAAGTTAGGATTTTTAACCACTAAGTTCTTTCTAGATAACAAAGGTCTTGGGTGTAGTAAAATCAGACTGAATAAGCAGTCCATAGCCTCCTGATAGGAATCTGGTAATTTTGTGTAACTTGGTGTCATAGACAAATGACAGCTTGTGGGATTTTAGCATTGTTCTGTTTGTACATCTGGAGCAGTTAGGGCCAGGTGATGTCCAGGACCCCTTTCTGCTTCTGTCAAATATCTTCTAAGGACACAATTATAAAATAAGCCTTTTCTCCAGGAATCCTTGTACTATTAGTTATATAGACCGTTATCCCTGAATCTGACTATAACAACCAGTTCTGATTCATAACTTTTCTTCAGTTGGCCGAGTAAGAGGGTCACCTTCATTTGTATAACACTTTGTAATCTACAGTACTCTTTCATAATCCCACCTCCTACCATGCCCACAAGTTTTGAAGGTATGGTAAAAAGTAAATTATAGGCTATGAGCCAGCAATTATTCATTCAATGTTTCCATTGTGCTACACAGCATTTCTTACTAAGAGATAGGGTATAGTATGCCAGTTGTTGCTGAGACCATGAAAATTGACTACCTTGTAATTTCAAAACTTTTGCTAAATAAAATTTAACATTATTCTTATTATTTAATGGAAGCTTAGCTTAAAATAAAATAAACTAGAAACTGAAAATAAATGTTTCTTCTGGTTAAACATGCCTTAATATATATGCATATTTATCTGAAGTCAGTTTCACCTCCCCATACAAAACAGAAAAACAAAATTTAAAATTTAAAGAAACCACACACTAAAATGAAGAAATTGAAAAAGGCATATTGTTTCTAAAGACAAGAAAGCAGGAAAGCAAAGGCTTTTTTCCCTTAATTTGTATTGACTTATTTATTACTATGTGTACAATTTGAAATGTTTTGACATCTGTACAATTAAGAATCATTATCACAGTCCGGTAAATTTATAGACCACCCAAAATGTTCCTTGTGTCTTTGATTCCTTTCCCCCTCACTTCCTGTTCTCAATACTCCTTGCCCAATTCAGGCAATAACTAACTTTCTTTCTGTCGCTAGATTAATTTACATTTTCTAGAAATTTATGTAAACCAAATCATAAAGATATTTGTTCTCACTTGGGTTTTTGCATTCAGCATAATTATTCTGAGACTCAACCATGTTATTGCTTTGTTGATAGTTCATTCTTTTATTGAGTAGTATTCCAGCATATGAATTTACCACAGCTTATCCATTGACTGATGAATAGTTCAATTGTTACCAAATTTGGAATTTTATAAATTAAACAGCTATGAACAAATGTATGAGTCTTGGTATGGACACATGCTTTCATTTCCCTTGAATAGAGATCTAGGAATGAAATGCTGAGTGATTTGTCTGGTAAATGTTTAACAATTTAAGAAAATGACAAACTGTTTTTCAAAGTGATTGTATCACTTTTTTTATCATCAGTAGAATATAAGAGCACAAGTTTTTCCCCATCTTTGACAACACTTGGTATAATCAGCCTTTTAAATTTTACACATTATAATAAGTATATGAGTATACCATTGTGATTTTAATTTGCATTTTTCTAATGACTGATGACAAAAATTATTTCACGTGCTTATTTGCCTTCCATATGTCCTTTTGTTAACTGTTGGCTCAAAACACTTCCCAATTTTGCTTAATTGAATGGCTTGTTTTATTATTGTGTTTTGAAAGGTCTATTTATTTCCCTATAGCTATTAATTTGCATATCATTTATCTGTTTGTCTTATATGGAATATTAATATGCATATATATTCTCAATATATATAGCTCATAAATTTATTTTAACAGATATATGATGCAAATACTCTCTCCCAGCCTGTGGCTTATCTTTTTGTTTTCTTAACAGTTTCTCAAAACCAAAAGTTTTTTGTGAGGTCCATTCTATTAATTTCTTCTTTTATGATGTCGCTCCCAAGAATTCGTTAACATAAGTCTCTTATTTTATCTTTCATAATTATTATATTTTTATGTTTAACCTTTAGGTCTGTGATCTATTTTGAATATTTTATTTGGTGGAAGGTATAAACAAAAGTTAAATTTTTGCATATGTATATTTTAATTTACCAGCAACAAATATTGAAAATATTTATCTCTTCCCACTGATTACCTTTGTAGCTTTATCAAAAATTAGTTGCTTATATATGTGTTGGTTTATTTATATACTCTTTTTTGTTTGTTTTGTTTTGTTTTTTGTTTTGTTTTTTGTTTTTTGAGACAAAGTCTCTCTCTTTCGCCCAGGCTGGAGTGCAGTTGCACGATCTTGGCTCACTTCAACCTCCGCCTCCCTGGTTCACGCCATTCTCTTGCCTCAGCCTCCCTAGTAGCTGGGACTACAGGCCCCGGCCACCACGCCCGGCTAATTTTTTGTATTTTTAGTAAAGACGGGGTTTCACCGTGTTAGCCAGGATGGTCTGGATCTTCTGACCTCGTGATCCGCCCGCCTCGGCCTCCCAAAGTGCTGGGATTACAGGCGTGAGCCACTGCACCCGGCGCATTTATATACTCTTTATTCTGTTCCATTTAACTTTGTGTCTATATTTTGTCAAATCTATGTTTTTATTACTTGTAGCTTTATAATAAATCTTAAAATCAAGTATTGTTAGCCTTTCAACACTGTTGTTTTTCAACGATTTTACTATTCTAGACTATTTGCATTTCTGTATTAAATTTATTATCATCCTGTCAATTTCTACCAAAACTGAAACAAAAAAAGCTTTAATTTAGAATATATAGTGAATATATTGAACAATTTATGAGACTTGATATCTTAAAAATAATGACTCTCCTATCAACAGGATTAACCGATTTATTTAGGTCTTTTTTATTTTGGTAGATTTCAGTGTACTGATTTTTAATGATTCTTCTAGATTTATCTATATTTTTATGTTATTAGATATGTATTATATATTTTTGATTTTATAAATGATATATATGTTATTAGGCATGATATATATATTATATATTACATTGGTAGGATGGTGGGAGTGGATATGTGCATGTATTGTTCTATTCTCAATTTTTGTTTAATTGTTGGTGGTATATAGAAATATGTTTGATTTTTGTATTGATCTTGCACTTCTGTGTAACTCCTTTCTCTCTGTTACTGTCTTCAGTGAACTCTAGCCACTTGGTCTCAGACTGTCAGCTCCATCTTCTCCACTAAGAGGTCTATCAGGATCATACGGTTTCTCCTTCACACACACAATCTATGTGTGTGTGAGTGTGTGTGTATGTGAGGTTTGGCTGTGTGTGTACACACATATATATACATACATGTATTAATATATTAAGTATATATATACTTTATATATATATACACTAAATAATATATATGCTAAATTATCTATTTGGTAGAATATAGAAATTTGAAACCTATGTTTATGAGAATGGGAGTATATACATGTGAGATAGAATCAAGGCTGTCATTAATTGCTTACATTATTATTCTTAGAAAGACTGGGTATTTGGTAACACTGCATCCTCTTGAAGCTGGGCTGCAAAGTGATGGTGCAAACTGGGAAATTTACTGAAAATGTCCATAAGGAACAATGACCAATCCTAGACCAGATGGGAGACAGCTGCCCAGAATCATAGTGAAAGGACTCTAGTTCAGATGGTTACAGGAAGGCACGGGACTCCAAGAAAGAGGTCTTCATAGATAGGAAATAAAAGTACTTGATAGATTAACTGTGGGTTTTAATATATTGCAAAAAAAATTGACAGTTGTCAGGATACTTGGGAATGAATTAATGGTACGTACCCAGAAATGTAAAAAATGTAATGAGGCAATTAGCAACTTCAGGGAAAATTAAAAGTTGTACAGGAATGAATATGTGATCTCTGTGGCTTTAACCAGGCATAAGATTTACATAGTATGATGTCACTATGAATACTGATTTAATGAAAAATGATAAAGTACAATTAGTGAGACGGCAAGAGTCAATGTACATGTGTGTCCATGGCGTAAAAGCACAGACTCATCTCTACAGCAGGTAGAAAATATTGTGCACTTAAAAAATCAAGAAAGAACAGTATGGTTTTTTTTTATGTTTAGAATTATATAGGCAAAATATATAAAAAAGAAAATTAAAGTGGTTGCTTTGCATCAGTAGGAATTGGGGTGTTTTAGTAGTGAGCAGAAGGCTTCTAGTTATTATTATTTTGTAGGTCTAAATGCATTTATTATTTTGACTAGATTAAAAGTAAATCAATACAAAGTTATCTCAATATAAACTTGCATCAAAAGCTTCAATGTGTTTGGTTAAGAGTTAAGAATACGCAGACAAACCACCTAGTTTGGAAACTCAGCTCTACCCCTTATTAAGTTGTAACTTGAACATATTACTTCACCTAGTGATGCTTCAATTTCTTAATCTGCAAAGTGGAAATAGTAGCTGTATCTGCCTCATATGGCTTTTAAGGGGAATCCAATGAGTTAATCTTTGTAAAGTGCATAGAATTGAGACTGGTATATAGTAAGTGCTATTTTGTAGTCTATTATAGCAAAAGCAAAACAAAAGGACATTGATGTTGTAGTAATGCTATTTTGGCTTGTTTTTTATATTTATACTGAAGAATCAATGCCAAGAACACAGCAACATCACTCGACTTTAACAGCAATGCTATTTGCATTGATTCACACTAGATTTAAAGTATTCAAAGATTTTTAAAAATAAGTTGTCTTTGATGCTCCTATATCTGCTTGAAGAAACATTTTCTAGCACATTAGTCAGAGTATGATAGCCCATTCTGTTCATACTGTGTTCATTCAAGATTTTTTTTCCAAAGTACTGAAAATCCTGCAATATGATTTTCAAAACCTGCAGTATGGGGGCAACAGCTGGCCTGGTCAAGCTTCTTGGCCTAGTTGTGAGCTGGAGTCTGAGATGGATTACTAGAAGAAAAGTTGACCTACTTTGAATCTTTAGGTAGGAGGAGTTTGTTAAAGCAAAAATGATCCTGAAGGATGATATTGATATAAAGAGTAGTTCATTCCAGTTTCCACTTGTCAGCCACTAGGGAATATATAAACTATATTTGCCTCAAGGCATCAGCTTATCCTATAAAACCACTGCAGTATTATTCCAAAATGTGTATTAAAATCAGCAACAAAACAAAATCAACCTTTTTAAAAAAATTATTTTCTTATTTCAGTAACCTTTTTGGGGTTAGTTGGTTGAGAATATATATTGCTATGAGGAATTTAATATTGTAAAAGAAACACGAATTTAGACAAATGTATCCCGTTAATATATATCCTATATCTTGAGACAAATATATCCCAATAACTCATAAGAAATATTTAAAGAGCAATATAATATTGAAAATTTCTAACAATAGGTTTTAGAATATTTGGTATGTCATGAGGTCCTCAAGGACAGTGACTTTTCTTTTCATTTGTGTGCCTCTAAAACTCTGTACAAAATCCCAGACAAATTCAATGTTCAGTGAACACTTATGTCATTGAGTTAAACACTGGTTAAAAAATCTTTTCGGGGAGATTTTATTTTTATTGTGACTCTGAGTCTGTCATTATAAATATGCAGTTTATTCATAATATTGTACCATAAAGGTCACAATGACAGGCAGTGGAAAAAATATGAATATAGAAACTTGAAGATGAGTTGATTTATTTCACAAAGGTAAACAGCAAATGCTGCATAACTGTCTGCTTTTAATTAGCTTGTCAAAAGATTTTGACAAAGACCTCCAGTGGATTACTGAACAAACCTGGATGCAGATTACTTCTATTGAATCATTTATTGTCTTTCATAGGTTTTAATAGAATTGATCTAATCATACTCATTCTATTCTCTTATCAATTTTACACTCCTCTTTTATTTGCCTTTGTAACTATAAGGTTTGTAAAGATAATTTTTCCTCCTTTATGTTTGCTATAGCCACTCTCAGCTTTAACAAATATTTTAGATCTATCCTGATTTTTTTTTATTATTATAGTTTAAGTACTGAGATGAATATGCAGAATGTGCACGTTTGTTACATAGATATACATGTGCCATGGTGGTTTGCTGCACCCATCAACCCATCATCCACATTAGGTATTTCTCCTAATGCTCTCCCTCCCCTTGCCCCCTACCCACTGACAGGTCCCATGTGTGATGTTTCCCTCCCTGTGCCCATATGTTCTCATTGTTCAACTCCCACTTATGAGTGAGAACACGTGGTGTTTGGTTTTCTGTTCCTGTGTTAGTTTGCTGAGAATGATGGTTTCCAGCTTTATCCATGTCCCTGCAAAGGACATTAATTCATTCTTTTTTATGGCTGCATAGTATTCCATGATGTATATGTGTCACATCTTCTTTATCCAGTCTAACACTGATGGGCATTTGGGTTTATTCCAAGTCTTTGCTACTGTGAATAGTGCTGCAATAAACGTGTTGTGAATAGTGCTGCAATAAATGTGTGCATGTGTCTTCAGAGAAGAATGATTTATAATCCTTTTGGTATATACCCAGTAATGGGATTGCTGGGTCAAATGGTATTTCTGCTTCTAGATCCCTGAGGAATCCCAACACTGTCTTCCACAATAGTTGAACTAATTTACACTTCCACCAACCGTGTAAAAGTGTTCCCATTTCTCCATATCCTCGCCAGCATCCGTTGTTTCCTGACTTTCTAATGATCACCATTCTAACTGGCGTGAGATGTACTTTTGTGGTTTTGATTTGCATTTCTCTAATGATCAGTGATGATGAACTTTTTTTCATATGTTTGTTGGCCACATAAATGCCTTCTTTTGAAAAGTGTCTGTTCATATCCTTTGCCTACTTTTTGATGAAGTTTGTGTTTTTTCTTGTAAATTTAAGTTCCTTGTAGATTCTGGATATTAGCCCTTTGTCAGATGGATAGATTGCAAAATTTTTCTCCCATTCTATAGGTTGCCTATTCACTCTGATGATAGTTTCTTTTGCTGTACAGAAGTTCTTTAGTTTCATTGGATCCCATTTGTCAATTTTGGCTTTTGTTGCAATTGCTTTTGGTGTTTTAGTCATGAAGTCTTTGCCCATGCCTATGTCCTGAATGGTATTGCCTAGGTTTTCTTCTAGGGTTTTTATGGTTTTAGGTCTTACGTTTAAGTATTTAATCCATCTTCAGTTAGTTTTTGTATAAGGTGTAAGGAAGGCATCCAGTTTCACTGTTCTCCATATGGCTGGCCAGTTTTCCCAATACCATTTATTAAATAGGGAATCCTTTCCCCATAGCTTGTTTTTGTCAGGTTTGTCAAAGATCAGAAGGCTGTAGATGTGTGGTGTTATTTCTGAGGTCTCTGTTCTGTTCCATTAGTCTATATATCTGTTTTGGTACCAGTACCGTGCTGTTTTGGTTACTGTAGCCTTGTAGTATAGTTTGAAGTCAGGTAGCATGATACCTCCAGCTTTGTTCTTTTTGCTTAGGATTGTCTTGGCTATATGGGCTCTTTTTGGGTTCCATATGAAATTTAAAGTAGTTTTATTCTAATTCTGTGAAAAAAGTCAATGGTAGCTTGATGGGGATAGTATTGAATCTATAAATTACTTTGGGCAGTATGGCCATTTTCAAGATATTGATTCTTCCTATCCATGAGCATGGAATGTTTTTCCATTTGTTTGTGTCCTCTCTTATTTGCTTGAGCAGTGGTTTGTAGTTCTCCTTGAAGCAGTCCTTCACATCTTTTACAATTGTATTCCTAGATATTCTCTTTGTAGCAATTGTGAATGGGAGTTTCCTCATGATTTGGTTGTTTGTCTATTTTTAGTGTATAGGAATGATTGTGATTTTTGCACATTGATTTTGTGTCCTGAGACTTTCCTGAAGTTGCTTATCAGGTTAAGGAGATTTGAAGCTGAGGCAATGGGGTTTTCTAAGTATACAATCAATCATCTGCAACAGAGACAATTTGACTTCCTCTCTTCCTATTTGAATACGCTTTATTTCTTTCTCTTGCTTGACTGTCCTGGACAGAACTTCCAATACTATGTTCCAATAGGAGTGGTGAGAGAGGGCATCCTTGTCTTGTGCCAGTTTTCAAAGGGAATGCTTCCAGCTTTTGCCCATTCAGTATGATATTGCCTGTGGGGTTGCCATAAATAGATCTTATTATTTTGAGACATGTTCTGTCAATACCTAGTTTATTGAGAGTTGTTAGCATGAAGGGGTATTGAATTTTGTTGAAGGCCTTTTCTGCATCTATTGAGATAATCATGTGATTTTTGTCATTGGTACTGCTTATGTGATGGATTATGTTTATTGATTTGCATATGTTGAACCAGCTTTGCATTCCAGGGGTGAAGCCAACTTGATCATGGTAGATAAGCTTTTAAATGTGTTGCTGGATTTGGTTTGCCAGTATTTTACTGAGGATTTTCACACTGATGTTCATCAGGGATATTGGCCTGAAATTTTGTTGTTGTTGTTGTGTCTCTGCCAGGTTTTGGTATCAGGATGATGCTGGCATCATAAAATTAGTTAGGGAGGAGTCTGTCTTTTTTTATTGTTTGGAATATTTTCAGAAGGAATGGTACCAGGTCCTTTTTGTACCTCTGGTAAAATTCGGTTGTTAATCCTAATTTAATCTGGTCCTGGGCTTTTGGTTGGTTGGCTTTTAATTACTGCCTCAATTTCAGAACTTGTTATTGGTCTATTCAGGGATTCAACTTCTTCCTGGTTTAGTCTTGAGAGGGTGTATGGGTCCAGGAATTTATTTATTCCTTCTAGATTTTCTAGTTTATTTGCATAGAGATGTTTATGGTATTCTCTGATGGTAGTTTGTATTTCTGTGGGATCAGTGGTGATCTCCCCTTTATCATTTTTTATTATGACTATTTGATTCTAATCTCTTTTTTATCAGCCTGGCTAGCAGTCTATCTATTTTGTTAATGTGTTCAAAAAGCCAGCTCCTGGATTCACTGATTTTTTGAAGGTTTTTTTTTTTTTTGTGTGTGTGTGTGTGTGTGTGTGTGTGTGTGTGTGTTTCTATGTCCTTCAGTTTTGCTCTGATCTTACTTATTTCTTGTCTTCTGTTAGCTTTTGAATTTGTTTGCTCTTGCTTCTCTAGTTCTTTTAATTGTGATGTTAGGGTGTCGATTTTAGATCTTCTCTGCTTTCTCTTGTGGGCATTTAGTGTTATAAATTTCCTTCTAAACACTGCTTTTGCTGTGTCCCAGGGATTATTATATGTTGTGTCTTTGTTCTCATTGGTTTCAAAGAACTTACTTATTTCAGCCTTAATTTCATTATTTACCCAGTAGTCATTCAGGAACAGGTTGTTCAGTCTCCATGTAGTTGTGTGGTTTTGAATCTCTTAGTCTTGAGTTCTAATTTGATTGCACTGTGCTCTGAGAGACTGTTTGCTGTGATTTCCATTCTTTTGCATTTGCTAAGGAGTCTTTTACTTCCAATTATGTGGTCGATTTTAGAATAAGTGCTATGTGGTGCTGAGAAGAATGTTGATTTGAGGTGGAGAGTTTTGTAGATGTCTATTAGGTCCACTTGGTCTGGAGCTGAGTTAAAGCCCTAAATAACCTTGTTAATTTTCTGTCTTGTGATCTAATATTGACAGTGGGGTGTTTAAGTCTCTCACTATTACCGTGTGGGAGTCTAAGTCTCTTTGTAGGTATCTAAGAACTTGTTTTATGAATCTGTGTGCTTCTGTATTGGGTGCATATATATTTAGAATGGTTAGCTCTTCTTGTTGCATTGATCCCTTTACCATTATTTAATGCCCTTCTTTGTCTTTTTTAATCTTTGTTGCTTTAAAGTCTGTTTTATCAGAGACAAGGATTGCAAACCCTGCCTTTTTTGCTTTCCATTTGCTTGGTTTATCTTCCCCCATCCCTTTATTTTGAGCATTTGTATGTCTTTGATGTGAGATGGGTCTCCTGATTCCAGCATGGTCATGGGTCTTGACTCTATTCAATTTGCCAGTCTGTGTCTTTTAATTGGGGCATTTAGCCTGTTTACATTTAAGGTAAATATTGTTACGTGTGAGCTTGATCCTGTCATTACGATGCTAGCTGGTTATTTTGCCCATTGGTTGATGCAGTTTCTTCCTAGTGGATTGTTTTTACAGTGCTGGTACCAATTTTTCCTTTCCATATTTAGCGCTTCCTTCAGGAGTCTTGTAAGGCAGGCCTGGTGGTGACAAAAATCTCTCAGCATTTGCTTGTCTGTAAAGGATTTTATTTCTCCTTCATTTATAAAGATTAGTTTGGCTAAATATGAAATCCTGGGTTGAAAATTCATTTTCTTTAAGAATGTTGAATATTAGCCCCCACTCTCTTCTTGCTTGTAGGGTTACTGCAGAGAGATCTGCTGTTAGTCTGATGGGCTTCCCTTTGTGGGTAACCCGACCTTTCTCTCTGGCTGCTCTTAACATGTATTCCTTCATTTCAACCTTGGTAAATCTGATGATAATATGTCTTGGGGTTGTTCTTCCCGAAAAGTATCTTTGTGGTGTTCTCTGTATTTCCTGAATTTGAATGTTTGCCTGTCTTGCTAGGTTGGGGAAGTTCTCCTGGATAATATCCTGAAGAATATTTTCCAACTTGGTTCCATTCTCCCTGTCACTTTCAGGTACACCAGTCAAACATAGGTTTGGTCTTTTCACATAATCCCATATTCTTGGAGGCTTTGTTCATTCCTTTTCATTCTTTTTTCTCTAATCTTGTCTTCTTGCTTTATTTCATTAGGTTGATTTTCAATCTCTGATATTCTTTCTTCTGCGTGATCGATTTGGCCATTGATACTTGTGTATGCTTCACGAAGTTCTTGTGCTGTTTTTCAGCTCCATCAGGTCATTTATGTTCCCCTCTAAACTGGTTATTCTAGTTAGCAATTCCTCTAACCTTTTATCAAGGTTCTTAGCTTCCTTGCATTGGGCTAGAACATGCTGTTTTAGCTTGGAGGAGTATGTTATTACCCACTTTCTGAAGCCTACTTCTGTCAATTCATCAATCTCATGCTCCATCCAGTTTTGCTCCCTTGCTGGTGAGGAGTTGTGATACTTTGGAGCAGAAGAGGCATTCTGGTTTTTGGAATTTTCAGCGTTTTTGCACCATTTTTTCCTCATCTTTGTGGATTTACCTACCTTTGGTGTTTGCTGTTGGTGATCTTCGGATGGAGTTTTTGCGTGGTCATCCTTTTTGTTGATATTGATGCTATTGCTTTCTGTTTGTTAGTTTTCCTTCTAACAGTCAGGCCCCTCTACTGCAGGTCTGCTGGAGTTTGCTGGGGGTTCACTCCAGACCCTGTTTGCCTGGGTATCAACACTGAAGGCTGCAGAACAGCAAAGATTGCTGCCTTCTCCTTCCTCTGGAAGCTTCGTCCCAGAGGGGCACCCACCAGACGCCAGCTGGAGCTCTCCTATATGAGGTGTCTGTGGAACTTTCCTGGGAAATGTCTCCCTCTCAGGAGGCACAGGGGTCAGGGACCCACTTGAGGAGGCAGTCTGTCCCTTAGCAGAGCTCGAGCACTGTGCTGGGAGATTTACTGCTCTTTTCAGAGCTGGCAAGCAGGAACGTGTATGTCTGCTGAAGCTGTGCCCACAGCCGCCTCATTCCACAAGGTACTCTGTCCCAGGGAGATGGGAGTTTTATCTATGAGCCCCTGACTAGGGCTGATGCTTTCTTTCATAGATGCCCTGCCCAGAGAGGAGGAATCTAGAGAGGCAGTCTGGCTACATAGACTTTGCTGAGCTGTGGTGAACCCCGCCCAGTTTGAACTTCCTGGTTGCTTTGTTTACACTGTGAGGGGAAAACCACCTACTCAAGCCTCAGTAATGGTGGATGCCCCTCCCTCCACCAAGCTGGAGTGCCCCAGTTGGACTTCAGACTGCTGTGCTGGCAGAGAGAATTTCAAGCCAGTGGATCTTAGCTTGCTGGGCTCCGTGGGGGTGGCATCTGCTGAGCAAGACCACTTGGCTCCCTGGCCTCTGTCCCCTTTCCAGGGGAGTGAATGGTTCTCTTTCACTTGGGTTCCAGGTGCCACTGGGTTATGAAATAAAACTCCTACAGCTAGCTAGTTGTCTGCCCAAACAGCCTCCCAGTTTTGTGCTTGAAACCCAGGGCCCTTGTGGTGTAGGTACCCGAGGGAATCTCCTGATCTGTGGGTTGCAAAGACCAAGGGAAAAGTGTAGTATCTGGGCCAGATAGCACTGTCCCTCACGGCAGGGTCCCTCAAGGCTTCCTTTGGCTAGGGGAAGGATTTTCTGGACCCCTTGAGCTTCCCAGGTGAAGCAACACCCCACCCTGCTTCTGCTCATCCTCCGTAGGCTGCACCCACTGTCTAACCAGTCCCAATGAGATGAGCAGGGTACCTCAATTGGAAATGCAGAAATCACCTGCCTTGTGCATTAGTCTCCCCAGGAGCTGCAGACTGGATCTTTTCCTATTTGGCCATCTTGCCTCGAGCCCTATCCTGATATTTTTATTTGGGTCTGAGTATGATGTTTCTGGTAGTGTTTAAACTTTTAGTTCTTGCTCTTCATTTTTAATAAACAGCTTTTTATCACACTCATTTTCTTTTCCCATTTGCTGTTATAAAATATACAAGTATGGTCATTTAAAAATATATATTCAGAAAAATGATGTCTTTTTAGAATGTCTGATTTCTTTGATCTTCTATTTCTCATAAATCTTTTCCATACCCCTCTTCATCATTACAAATAACAATGAAATGTTTCTGAAATTAGCAAGTTATCTACAGAATGAGATGATCTGATACAAATCAATTTTCATCTTCACAGTATTAAATGAATTAATTCACCAAGTAGCTTGCAAGATAATGAAAGCAAAATGCAAGCAAAGAAATTGAATGACCTTTAACAAGCCTCAAATAGAATTAAATGTCAAAGTCCTGAAAAGAAGTTTCCTTGTTTATTTCTAGCAGCTACATGTTTTATAGCCCAGCCACAGGATGATGGAGAGTTGCTAGATGATTCTTATAACTCAGATTTTATTTCTGGTAAAGGTTTACTATTCCTAGCAGGATGACACTATATTTTTTATTTGAATGATTTCTATCACTAAAACCCCTCAAAAATTATATTTTTTTTTCTGAAAGAGAAACTGTTTTCCTAGATATTGCTTTTATTTGATATCTATAAAAAAACACAGGTTTAAGTCAAAGTTGGTAATGACATGGGCTCCACGTGTTTTCCAACTGTAAGAAAAGGATATTTTTCTAATCACAAGTCGAATACAGTAGACGAGCTATTAAAATGCAGGAAAATCAACAGTAATTGTTCACATCAAGATGAGGTATCTTAAAAGATTAAAATTCTTATGAATCATATAAGAGAATGAAGAAAAAACAGAAACAGAAGTATCAAAAAGAAATGTAGATATTATGTGATGAGAAAAATGAAGATGGGTTCTAACATAAAATTATTAATACTCTTCCAATATACTATATTGATTGCATGCTATATAATATGTAAAGTTACTTATAACTCCATGGATTGATTTTATTCTACATTTGGAATTGTATATATCACATTTAGCTCATGTTCATTTTCAATTATAAAGAAGTAAAACAGGAAAGCAAAAGCAAAGAAACTTAAGCTAGGGCTTTACCAAACCATGCCAATGTAAAATAAATGGCTCATATACTGTTGAGTTGATTATATAGAAACATACCAGCTTCCTCTAAGTGCAATAGATCACAAAAAGAGGGAGTTGAACTAATGTCTTTAACCTCAATTCAGAGCACTAGCTAGGCATTATGTATAAACGTGGAAGAATCACCTGTTTTCCACTATAAAAGAGGATAAGAGAAGCATAGAAATTTAGGCTTTGAGTCACTAGATATCAAAAACAAAATATTATGACTATCAGTGCAGGAACAGTGTCATCTAGTTTTTGCCAGGATGTAAAGCATATCTCCTTAGACTGATATATTAGAAATGAAAAATTATGTCATTGATGATAAACACAAAAATTACAATGCATAGGCAGATAATTTAGTTTTATCTTACCTAACTGCTATGGTTTGAAAGAGTGCCCCAAAATTTATGTGTTGTAAGCTTAATTTCCAATGCAACAATGTTGGTAGGTGGGGCCTAATAAGAGGTGATTAGCTCAAGAGTGCTCTGCCCTTATGAATGGATTAATGCTGTTATTGCAGGAGTGGGTTAGTTTTAAAAATGAGTTCAGCCCTGTCTTGTTTCCTCTTGCTCTTGCCCTCTCTTGCCTTTCTACCTTTTGTCATGAGATGATGCAGTACAAAGGCCCTCACCAGATGCCAGTGTCATGCACTTAGACTTCCTAGCCTCCAGAACTGTGAGTCAAATAAATTTCTGTTTCTTTTAATAAATTAACCAGACTGTGGTATTCCATTATAGCAGTGCAAAGGGACTAAGGTACTACTTTAGCCACAGAAATTTAGAAATTCAGTCATTTCATTATATTCAAAGTATACTAGGATGGATGATATGTAGTTTAAACCCCATAAGAAATAATTTTAAATTTACAATATGTGTATATGTAAGCAAATGCCTATGGTCTTTTGTTTATTGCAGTAATTTTCTAGTTTAGATTCCTACCTAAATTCACTCTGTTAGATCTCCCTGATTATAAAAAAAAGAACAAAATATATTAAATGTTTACTATGTAAAAATCACTGTACAAGCATGTAAGAAATACAGAGATATGTATGACACAGACCTCTCCCCTTTAAGAATAGTAAAAAATTATCAATAGCATATGCACACAAAAAGCAATTATAAGAAATAATGTATAAAGTCATATTTATATATTAATTTATAATTGTATTCATATATTAATATATACTGATCACCTGCTTTTTTACATTGTGTAAGAATCCAACTGTCAACAATACCACTAAAGTTTTTGCTCTTGTAGTCTTTATAAATTTTGGAGTAATAAGACAGATAAGTACAAAGTAATAAGATAAATATTATAACAATGGACTTAGTGATATAACTTTCTCTTGTCATGGTTCAAGTCTGAATTTATTTTGCATATTGGATGTTAGTTATTATAAGTAAGTTAGTATGAAAAGAAAGCAATCCAGGGAGGCAATTAGCATAAGCATAGTCCCTCCTCTGGAAGTCATACCATTGAAGACTTAAAATCTTTCTGACTTGAATGTAAGCCATTTGAGTGTAATATTTGAATAGATTTATTGTTTTAAACCTTTATTTTTTGTAAATGCTACCTCAGTCAGCACCAGAAGTACTGTACACTACTACTTGGACATAGTAGGTGCTCAATACATTTCTATCAGTTTATTAATGTATATTCTCACCTATATATCTATTCTTAAATCTTTGCTTGCATCTTCAGATAGAAGTGATTTCTAAAGGCAGATTTGCATGAGTGAAATACTCCTGAATCTGACTTTTGGTTTATATGAGCTTCAATTTCCATATCAACACAATGAAACACAGTAGCCCTGTACACCTTTTGCTTTACTTACACTGTCAAATATAATTTGATGGCACTCCCATATTTTAAAAGCTGATGGAAATGTTTAAGAAGAATATAGTCTTCAGCCTGAACTTTGAATTTTGCATTATCATTGTGGCAGATTTAGTAAAATTTATTACTTGATAGATATTTCAATTTTTCCAGTTCTAACATTTATATATCAGGATCAATTACAATTAAAAATATACATATTGTCAAGAAATGCCTTAGAATCTGAAAGTATTTGAGAGAAAAATGCCTTGTGTAGAAAAATTTGAAATAAATCCTTTCACATATTAGCACTCTTCCTACTTCTAAAATTGTACCTTTTCTATCCAAGGCTGATTTTTGGAGATAGGAGAATGCATTGTGTAATTCTCAGGGCTGAGAGCAAATAGAACTTTTCTTTACTAAACTCAATAAGGAGCAGGCATCTAATCTGGATATTACGTTTTTGTGTGAAGGTGCCTTTTCCCCATCTCATGCACTAGGCATTTAGTCTAACAGATGTTATTTGCAGACACTGCCTCACCACAAATAACTGTTTCAATGAGGTCAGGACCCTTTGCGTTCAACTTGTAGTCAGTGTTCTAACTGAATGGCATCTATGCTTACATCCAGCTTCAGGAGAAAACGCACATACACACACACACACACACACACACACAAGGAAAAAATCTCAACCATTCCACAAACCACATCTCCATTCTATACATCATTGTGTGGAGAAAGTTTTGGTCAGAGTGAAGCAAGGTAAATTGAAGATGACAAAATTTCCCATGTTTTCTAGTCAACAATCAAAATGTGTTGTTCTCTGCTGTATATCTGCTTGCATCATCCTACATATTTTATTTATTTTCTTATTTATTTCTAAATAACTACACCTACATTTAAATTTACAGATATGGAGCATGCTGCCTCTGGGGACGTTTAAAATACAAGAAAATAAACAGTCTTACAAAAATGCTATAAAAATCACAATGGAGCCCAATTTTCTTTCTATAGCAATGAAAGGGAGAAAAAGACACCTGAACCTGAAGAAATAAACTAAACCTTTAACCATTTTAAGTAAAGTTGTGGCTTCATGAAACTCCCTGTATTATAGAGAAAAAAATAGCTGTGTGGCCAAATAGAATGAAGAAAGACATGGTTTAGTCATGACACCAAACTTGTTAGTGCAGCACATAATAAACATGCCTATTATTATCATTATTTTATTATTACTGCTATTATTAAAATTAAAATTATTTTAATTTTTAACATTATTCATTTAAATCCCTGTATAAGTTAATTATCTTTGAAGGAGCCACAAATATTTCTTGAATTCATGTCCTATAATAATTAGGAACCAATATTTCATAATTGAATCATAATGGAAAGAACATAATAATTGACAAAAAATCATACATCTTCTTGTTCCAAGGTGGCATACTATACAAACTCATATATAACTATGAATATTTGACCTCTGGATGTTTTCTGGAAGAAGAGAATTTTAGAAGAATTGCCCAGGTAAATTTATTGTAAGGTTTAATAGAATAGAAGGGAGAAAATAAAAATGGCAAACATAATGTGAGGACTATAATAGTTTGGCATGCAGTAAATACATCAGTTATTATTTCTATGATTATTATTATTTTAATATCTAATCTTATTCATTAAATTTCTAGAATAGTTTAATAATTTTTCCAGCAATTTTTATCACTTATAACCCATTACATATAATAATTTTAAAACAATCTTGCCATAGTTTAATAAAAAATATAATATTAAAACTCACAAATGATTATGAATATTAGATCTCTGGATATTTCTAGTAAAAAGGACATTTTACAAAGAGAATTTGCTTAGGTTAATTTATTATACTGTGAGCAGGAAAGTTGAACAGAAATTTAAGCCTGAAACGACTTCTCCCGTGATTGTGTTCTTAAGGATGTAGTATTTGAATTTAAATTGAATTGGAGAAAACAACCACACCCACCTACAAAGATTTTTCTTTATAACTAAAATTAGACTTCTTTATAAAAAATAAGCCCTAGTCAACAAATGTTTAGAAAAATTTATCAAACTAAATATTTCTTTTTTTCAAAGAAGTAGAAAATAAATAAGTTGGAAGACTCCTAGAACTCTTGTCTCCAGTTAAAAATACTAACATTCTTATTATATTTTATGTTATTTTTTCCTTTTATAGTTACTCTAGAAATGAATTATTAAATATTCACTACTGTTTGCATTACTTACATCTTGATTTGAATAACAATTGCCATGTATGATCTTCTTGATGTTTTGTCTGTAATTATATTTTCTCATGTAAGAGAAAAGTGCAAATAAAAGACAGAAGAAACTTCATTGTGGTTTAAATGTTTCAAATGTCAGAACCAGGAAGACACCAATTATCAGCAGAATTTCAAGTTTTTCTAGCTCCAGTGTAAACGAGAACCCTGGAAACTAGTAAATAGAGAAAAATTATAAAATCTAGACAATTTTTACCAGTAATTTGGAAAACAAAGTTTTATGCTAATAACAGTAGGTATTTATTTTAAATTACTCTAGGTAATCCACTGTTCTTAACTGCAGGAAACTAGTTTCCAGTAATTAATATAGCTTTAATCATTTTCTGGAACTCCTTGTTAAGGAGTTCTTTCTAAAACTATCACATATTCAAATTTCTAATCTAGACAGTTTTTTGAGTTAACTCAAAGGAAACTTTCAGAGCAAACAAGAGGATATGGCATTAAGAATGAAATACCGTCATTTAAGTACATGTGCACGTGTGTGTATTCTGATATATACATATATATATATGCACACATTCTGATTCTGAGTGTTAATAATGTGTTGGCCATTTATGTTATTTTACTAGAGAATTTATCTGATTTCAAAGGAACTAGTGCCTTAGAAAGAAGTGATTAACAAGACAAGGATCAGAAAATATGCCTCATAATATGCACAGCTTCAGTGCTGGTTTTGTCTTCTCCAAGCCCGGTGGTCTAAAAAGAGTACTTACAGGGAATCTAGTACATATTTACTCAAAGACTGATTCATAGATCAGCAGCATAGTATAAACTACAACGCAGAACCCCAGACCCTACTCCAAAACTACTAAATCAAAATCTGCTTTCTAAAAGATCCCAGGTGAACCATATGCATGTCTTGGTGTTTCAACCAATTTAGTTGAAACAATAGTTCAAAAAGTAAGGGGGTACAAGAGTTAAGGTTGAAAATCAGGAGAACATCATGGAAGGCCTTATCTGGCATGCATAAAGATGCAAATATGAGAAATCCCGACTAATTGGACTTTCACAATGTTAATTTTGCAAAGTCAAGGTGGCATACAAGGATGATAACTTCGGGAAATTAGTTAAGATTCACTGAAATTATTTTGGCTTATTTTTCAAGGTCACACACAGCAAAATGGGTACAGACGTTCCAGGCATTGCATCAAGATGTATCATATCTTCCAATTAATCTTTCCTAAGAGTAAGAAATTTTTCCAAGAAACCCTTCAAAAGACACCCAAAGTCTCTCATTTGCCAGAACTGAGACACATGCCTATCCATAACATAACTAGTAGCTATGGAAAAAGAGATTACTATGATTGGTTTAGATAATCATATACCAATCAGCATCAGCCTCAGAAACTCAACTAGAGTTTCTTCCCCTGAGTCATACAGAGTCATGTTGAAACCTTGAAAAAATAGGTGTTTTGTTGGGATAGAAGAAGGCAAGATAAAGGTGCTAAGCACAACAGAGATATGATTAAGTCTGTTTATAAAAAATAGGGTGGAAAATATATAGTGAGTGCAAAACAGAGCAAATAATATTAAGAGGCTTGTTTAAGTGAGAAAAGTCTATGAGTTCAATCCAAGGTGGTTGTGCAAATAGAGAAAAGGGACAAATTTGAGGGATGTAATATTGAGAAGTAGATTCAAAAGGATCTAGTAACCTAGTGATTGAGTGGATATGGAAAGTGAAATGATGAGAAGGGATCTAAGAGGATTCATATTATTCTTGGCTACACAGTTTGACTATTTCCTCAAGTGCAGATATTATGACTATTTTGTTTACTGGACAATACTGAATGTCTGGCACGGTGAAATATACAATCTACTTTATCAATAAAAATTTGTTAAAGTAACAAATAAATATGGCATTAGCTGAAATCATTATTCAGATGGAGTAGAAGATCTGAAGATGAAGTGATATGCCTGTGAATCTGTGCAATGATGTTGTTCAGTGGACAATTAAAAATTCAGGTCTTGGCCGGGTACGGTGGCTCACACCTGTCTCAGCACTTTGGGGAAGCTGAAGCGAGCAAATCACTTGAGGTCAGGAGTTTGAGACCAGTTTGGCCAACATGGTGAAACTCCATCTCTACTGAAAATATAAAATTAACCTGGCATAGTGTTGGGAGCCTATAATCCCAGCTACTCGGGAGGCTGAGGCACGAGAATTCCTTGAACCCTGGAGGCAGAGGTTGCAGTGAACTGAGATCACACCACTACACTCAAACCTGAAGGACAAAGCAAGACTCCATCTCTAAATAAATAAATAAATAAATAAATAAATATAAAAATACAAGTCTTTACTATAGTCACCCTAGTGTGCAACAGAACATGAGAATTTATTCCTCTTATCTAATTGTAACTTTGTAGCTGTTGAACAACCTCTCTTTATCTTCCATTCTCCTTTCCCCTCCCCAATCTCTGATAACCACTCTTTTATTCTTTGCTTAACAGTAAAGTATGGTATATCCTCACTGCAAAGAAATTGTAAATGCATCAGCTGATGGGTATGTTAACTCTCCTTATTTGATTATTATACAACAAATATATGTATTGAAACATCAAATTATATCCCTTAAATATATACAATTACAATGTGTCAACTAAACCAAAACCAGGTAATGGGGGGATGTTTAAACTGAAGACAAAATACATGCCTAGATAATGCCTAGCTCTTTCTTCTTTACATCCTCTGTCTTTTCCTGTATCTTTCTTTCTATCCTAGTCTTTTGATAGGCATACTTTTCTACTCTACTGACAGTGGAAGTCAGGATACTTCAAGTTAGCTTAGGGGAAAAATCAGTCTCTGAATTTCATGATCCCAGACTCACAAACTTTGCATACCTTTTCAAGATAACCATGTTGTCTCATGTGAGAATAAGATAATAAGTCAGGCATGTTCCCAGAAATAAAACTCATTTCTGAATCATATTATAGGATGACCTAACACTATATTTTCTTAGAATTCTGCATTTTTTACATTGGTTCTTATTTCTGGAATGATCTTACTGCATTTGTCTTCCTATTTAATTTCTACTCAACCTTGAAGTTTTCAAATGTGTCATCTCAATTTCATGTGGAAACTTTTGTTGGGTATACTAATCCTGTGTATTATATATTATATAACCCCAAATTGTGCTAAGTACTAGAATTAAAAAATAAGATGTAATCTTTGTGTCCCAAAAATTTACCGTATTTGTTAGTATGGATAACAAAGAATCTTAATACAAGGAACATGGACAGAATCACAGATATGCATTAGATTTTATAAGAGCCAAATGGCTGCCACTCAGACTTTGTAGGGGGAACTAAATATGGTCAAAAAAAATCTAAAATAAAGTGACTTAAAATGGCGATACAATTCTAAGAAAACATGTGAGGAGTAGGGGCAATCAAGGAAATTGCAAATGCAAGCACAAGATGAAAACACATGTGCAGGGTAGGGGTATGAAGATTGAGGGTATGTTATGGAACCTCAGGCATGTTATTTTTTCTGTATATAAACGTGAGGGTTAATGCAAAGGATTGACAGAAGCTGGAAGTGGAAGTAAGCATAGTCCAGTTTTTCAAGGACATGGCATGTCAGGTTAGCTTGGAATTTATCATGTAGGGAATGAGAATTTTTTTCAGTCTTCCATTTTCCTTCCTATTCCATCAAGTTGATATCCAAACCTTTCTGATATCTTTTCTAAAATGTCACATGTGTAACACTGTTAGAACACTAATTTTTGTGCTCATTTCTCCCTACCATGTGTGGATGTTTTGTCTGAATCATTTCACTTTATTTGTATAACACAGTGCCTACATATAACAGAACTTTAAGAAATTTTTTAGTTTACCTTTCTTAGTGTATTAATAAGTGTACTTCTATAGAACTACATTTTAATGCTTAATATCTGCTTGCCGCATTACCAGATTGTTAGGCTGAGACAAGACTTGTGATTTGTAATAACAGAATTCTTTGTTCAATGTTTATATATATATATATATATATATATATATGCACACACACATACATTCACACATGTATTCCTCAACAAATGTATAGCATGAATTAAAGAAAAATGGTGCAGATAACCAACTCTGCTTTTTTAGAAGTTTTATTACATCAAGAGAAAAGCTTCATTTCCAATATTTTATATACTTATGGCGTAATTAGCTATATTTTTTCTGACTTGGAATAAAAGATAAAATTATGCAATAGCACCTTGATATCAGCTTTATTAACATTTTTATATACACTTTAAAGATCTTCCTCATACTCTAAAGGAATTAAAGTAAAAATAAATCACCATTATCACTTGCTTGAGTAATTTTGATATCATTTAATAGCCCATCTGCATAGATTTATGTTACAGAATCTATTGACCTAATATAGACATTAGGTTAACCTTCAGGTAGACTTGATAGAAAGAGCCATTAAGCATGCATGGATGGTTAAAACAGGTATACAAGCAAAGTTTATAAACCAGCACGAATGAGAAGAACCCAACCTATTAAACCGATCTCTTTCACCATCCCATCCAGCTAGCAAATACTTAATAAATTATAATCTGTGTTTTAAAATACTTTACTCAATAATTTTGCAGTACATTGCACAGGCAATAGCCATGTCAGACTATCTAAAGACTCCTGGAAAGTGTTAATTGACAGGAATCTATGCAGTTGGGAGTCTAGTCTTGAATACTGCATGGACTAGTTCTTGACCTAGCACTATATAGCCTAGAACAAAGTAAAATATCAAATTATCTTAAAACCTATTAAGTTTGGGAAGGACTTGACGGTAGAGTTTAACGTACCAAAAAAAAAAAAACCACTGTAAAGTTATATTCTGCTTTAATCTACTTTGTATAAAACTCACAAACAATAGTTTAGTGGGAAAAGAAATTGCATTTTAGGCAAAGACAGTCTTTGGTTTGAATCCCTGTTCTGTGGTTTATTATTTGGATAATGTTAGGTATATAATTTAACATCCTTATATCTTTTCTTCAAGTTTAGTTAGTAATTTTTATCTTGAAGTATTGTTGTAAGAGTTTAAAATAGTAAATAAAAGGTAAGAGAGAGGCAAAAATAGGTGCAGTGCCAAGAATATGCATGTGACCAATGATAGATTTGTAATTATATACGAACTTAGTGCCTTGGCTAACTTGGGTAGGATTTATTTTTTGAGTAGGAACCGTTAGCAGCATGTAACATATATAGAGTTCCTAGTTCTCACCGCAGCTCTGTTTCCAACTAACTGAGATTCCTTGAGAAAGTCATTTACTTTCTTTATAACTTTGGTTTCTATGCTGGAATACTGTAAGAAGAAAAATGAGAGAAAATATATAGTTTGCTCAAAATGATTTACTAGGTTTTTGTTGTTTAACTGCTCAATAATAACAATAGAACACACTTACTTGGCACTTAGGTGTTAGGCACTGTTCTAAGTATTTTATATGTGATTGATGAATTTAATCCTCAAAAAGCTTATATGAGGAAAGTACTGTGAATATCCACATATTAGATTTGTAGAAACAATTTACATGAAGCTAAGTAAATGTCCATTGTCACAAAGTTAGTGCTGGAACCAGCATTCCAATTCAAACTCCAAGGTCCATGTCTTAACCAATACACTGCACTGCCTTTTAAGTGTGCTTTGTTTCCGTAATGAATTTTAAGTCTTAGTATACTTTTTAGTATAAATTCCCAAACTGAGGATTATAATTCCTGTCAATAAATTTGTGTTTAAAATTTTTTACTTACATTACATTTTAAGAGTCATACTAGGGTAATTTCAATACTGATATTATTCATACTATTTTTCAAAATATGAAATGAACAATGTCAGATTAAATTTTGAAATGAATGTATAATTTAAGAATTATATATACACTTTTAAATCTGATTTCCAGTACACTTTAAATTTGTAAAGTTATAAAATTACAGATTCTTAACAATGAACACAAAGTCATTTATAGGATTGGCAAAGGTTTCATTTACAGAACAGATATTATTCTACATTTGCAAAATGATTTTTTTCATACAACACTTAGACATCTAACTCTAGTGCTTGTCTTCTGCCTGAAAGTAAATAGTTTAATTACTGATAAACCATAAAACAATGGAGTCTTATTTTGGCAATTTTACTCATAAAAATTCTGTATCATCTCAGTGAATGACATTGCAACTTACATCTTATATGAGAATCAAATAAAATGTATCAGTAAATTAAAAGATAAAAATATATGTTTTAAAAACACCAAATCTAATGAATGATAATGAAAGTAGGTTATGGTAGAATTGTAATAAACCACCATTTTTAAGTACATATTATCCTTTATATTCTTTAATTTTTGCTTCTTCTCCTATAAATATCCACATGGATGAAACAAAAGAGACTAAATACAATTAACCCAGAAAAGAACATGTGACCTAACAGGACCAATTGTCCTTATCTCCTCAGCAATGTTTATTTTTGTAATTTTTTTTGCAATTTTTTTTATTTCCATAGGTTATTGGGGAACAGGTGGTATTCAGTTACATAAGTAAGTTCTTTAGTGGGGATTTGTGAGATTTTGGTGCACCCATCACCACAGCAGTATCCACTGCATTCGATTTGTAGTCTTTTATCCCTCACCCCCTTCCCACCCTTTCCCAAGTCCCCAAAGTTCATTGTGTCATTCTTATGCCTTTGCATCCTCATAGCTTAGCTCTCACTTATGAGTGAAAGCATACAATGTTTGGTTTTTCATTCCTGAGTTACTTCACTTAGAAAAATAGTCTCCAATCTGATCTAAGTTGCTCCAAATGCCATTAATTCATTCCTTTTTTTATGGTTGTTTTTACTGTCCAGTATCTTCGTCAGTACTTAATATCAAGCATCCATGTTTTACTAATCCGGTGTGTATAAAATGGCATATCATTGTGTTTTAATTTGTGACTCCCTGGTTGCTAAACATCTATTCATATGTATATAAATTATTTGTATTTTCTATTCTGTTAGAATTTTTGGAAATATTTCCAGTTAGAAACATTTCTTGGTTTCAAGTGTTTCAAATATTGTTTCTTGATCTTTTCTTAATGTAAATAACTATCAATGTGGAGATACTTAGTTTATGTCATTCCTTGAGCTCTGCCTGTATTTTACTAACATATTTTTCACTTCTTTTACATGTTCAGATTACTCAAATGTAAGCTTGTTAGTAAACTGTCTTAAAAGGTGGTCAATAATTAGATCCAAAACTTTATTTACACTTAAATCTTTATTTTGAAATCAGAGAGGACTACAGTCTTATGAAAGCTACCCCTAGGTCCGGATGTGTCCACACCATACCACACTGACAATTATCTCATATATGTTAACTCAGTGTAAAATATTCATAATTGTCACTTCAAATTTTATGAATTGAGAGGCTGGTAAGTTGGAAGTGTTGTTTATAGAAATGAGGAGTTTGTAGTAGAAACAGCTTTTCTATTTTGGTGCAGGAAATACCAGGTTTGCTTTGGATGTGTTAAATAAGCTATGTGTATTAAATATCCAAGAAGTCCATATCACTCCCAGAGGAGATTTAATGAATTTGCTAGGAGTGTGTATGAGGAAGATAATATCATCGAAGTCTTAGCTCTTGGTCCTTTATTTCAGAATCCAACAAAGGAGAATGAGAATGAGTGGCCAGTAAGTAGGAAAGAATAAGCCAAATAAGATTTGAACTGAAGCTCAGCCACTGGATTTGTCAATGTAAGTGGTATCTGTATTCTTGACAAGACCTGCTTTGTGGAGGAGTATGTAGAAGGTAACATAGGGGTGGATTTAGTAGACAATAGGAATAATAAGTGGACAGAGAGAAATAGTATAGGCCTGTTTCTCAAGGAGATTTCTCTCAAGGATGGGGAACAAATGGGTCAGTAGCTAAACCAGAAGCTTGGTCAATGGCAAACACATTAAGATAGGAGCTATGTCAGTATGTTCCTTTGCTGAAAATGAATCAGGGGTGATCAATGACATAGGAGAGGGGAAAATTACTGAGGTGAAACCTGGAGAGTCAGAATTAGTCTATTAGTCTATATTAATCTTATGAATATTTATGTAAGAACCTCAGCAGATCTTAGGAACACAGGAGTTGAATAGAAGGAAAAAAAATAAAATTTATTAACTTTCATTTTTGCCATATTTGTATATTTCCAAATAAATTTTGTTGATGCTAAACAAAGTGCCATATATACAAGCCACCAAACTGAAAAATGTTTTAAAAACTAACTTTTTAATAATTTTAAGTTATTACATGTATTCTACTGGGATGATATTTTAACCTCTAATTTATCCACAAGGGGGTAAACATTGATTCTTTTGGGGGAGTGGAAAAATGATAGATAATAATTTGTTGTTCCAAAATGACCACAGTACATAAATAGATATACAGCATCTCTGTGGTACTAAAATTTAATGAAATGTGTTAGTATTTAATAAAACCAAATCCTAAAAAGTCACCTAGCAGTGATAGTAATCAAAAAAATCTAAAAATTTCCTTTGGGTGGGGGCAGTAATGAAAGAAAAACAATTGAACGACAGTGACATGTATTTTTTTTTATTCACAGATATACATGGTACAGCATATAAAATATGTACATTAGTACATTGATAAAGTCAAAGAATAACATAAACCTTAGTTTAAATGGTCAAAACAACTAAATATGGATTACTCTTGGCCTCAATCACTTAAAAAACACAGATGGCTTTGAAATGTAGAACATTTGCACCTGCTGGTGAAATGAAGTCTTCAATATATAGACTCAGTCTCTCAGCATCAGGGAATGCAAGACCACTATCTGAGAGGGTAGAGATTTGGTCAGATTTTGAGTATATATAAGATGAACCCTAGGCATGTGCCTTTCTGGTCTTCTGTGGTCACTTAACTCTGGCCATACTACTGCAAGTAAACCTCATTTTTTTTTTTCAATATGCCCTGCTCCCAAAGATGGTTTGTAAGTCTGCTGCAGTCCAGTTTACTTTGCCATCTGCCTTCTGGAAGCTGGACCCAACACTATAAACTATCCTTGTATCAACCCAATGGAATAAGATCCTGCTCTAAGCAAATTATTGATCTAGAAACAATGCAATACCAGCCACTTGAACTTTCATGTTACTTAGACCTAAAATGTCCTGCTCCCATGCTTCACTAACACACTTGATTCCCTTACATACTGGTCAAAGTTACATTAAATTATGCCTCTGACCCACTCAGATTTAAATTCTTACCGAAATCCCCATTTATACAATGATACTACAGAGCTCTCAGTACGCTTCAAATCCAGAGTATAATTAGCTGTGGCCGGACATAAACTTATGAGTAATTAAATTTCAGGAGTGAAACTTTCAAATCTATTTCTTTAATCATGTTTGTACACTTTGAATATTAGGCCATTCATAAGCATTCATTACTTGAATCTGAAAAAAGTCCATGCAAACTCATACTTTCACATTTGTTTACAGATACTAACTTCTTGCTTGCAATTTCAACAACATTGCAATCATTTTCTCCAAATTTTGTTTTTATATGCTTTTACTAATTCTTATTTTAATATTCCCCCAAAATAAGTTTTTCCTGAAATCAATCAGTTGTATTTGTTTTAACGAAATAAATATATGTATTTTTAGGCATCTCAAATTAGTCACCTTGGACTTGTTGAAAACAGTTATCACACATAAATAATTAAGAAACTGAATATAAAGTTTCATATAATAAAGCTCTCAGCATGGGAAATAGTATGAAAGTGTTTACATGTGAGAAAAAGATACCTCATTCTAATAAAGTAAAAATGTACAGAATAGATGGAAAAAAAGAATCAGATCAATAGTGTAGATAAAGAGTACTTCCATAAGATTGATTATATTTTCTTAAAAATAAAACTTAAATAAAATATAATATATGAATTAAATTTTGAATACTATCAAAGTGTAGCAAGTATTGATTTGAAATATATAGTAATGTATTTAAACATTTAATAACTTGTCATTCGAGGTAAATTTGTTTTCAATCTCATTTTATATTTTAGCTCAGAAAAGACCTTTTCACTCAAACTCCAAAGGGGAAAGAAGTCCATGTTTCTAAATCTCAAATTTGCAGTAGTATTAAACCATGTAGAATATGAAACATGAGAAATTTGTCTGAATGTATAACTTTTTCATACTATATTCAGTTGAAATGAAGTCCATGTTAGGAATAGAACATATTCTACTTGTAATGATGAATAACTGGTGTTAACAGCAGCTACAGAGGCAGAGCCATTAGAGAGATGGATGAATGTACCAGTAAGTAGAGGCACACATATCTGCTAATGGGAAGGTCACAAAGCAAACATTAACAATCGAGAACATTAATACATTCTCCCACACCAATGCTTTCTCAAGACTGACTTTTGACAGGTACAATCTGGCTCCCATATGTCTCTGTCTACACCGCGGGGTCAGTTTTTGTTCAGAACACAAACATACTTGCAAATTTGCCTTCAAGATGATAGAAACAACAGAGACAAAGTGTTAAGATTTTTGTATTTTGTATACAGTGGAACATGTCTCTTCTCTGAATAGATGAATGAGGAGACTGGTCTATGAAGTACAATAATGCCATGTTTTATTGTGCTTTGCAGATACTGTGTTTTTTACAAACTGAGGGTTTGTGGCAACCCTGTATCAAGCAGGTTTATTGGAATCATTTTTTTCCAGAAAGATGTGTTAACTTTGTGTCTCTGTGTAATATATTGGTATTTTTTGTTATTATGATGTCTATTATAGTGATCTGTGATCAGCAATCTTTGAGGTTACTAGTTTTATTTTATTGGTGACCCAAGAACTGTGTCCATATGAGACAGCAAAGTAATAAATAAATGTGTTTGTCTGACTGCTCCACCGACCAGCCATTCCCCCATCTCTCTACCTCTCCTCAGGGTTCCCTGTTCCCTAAGACACAATAATATTGAACTGAGGCCAATTAGGAACCTTACAACAGACTCTAAGTGATCAAGTAAAAGGATGAATCATGTGTGTCTTGTTTTAAATAAAAAGCTAGAAATGTTTAAGCTTAGTGAGGAACGTATGGTGAACGCTATGACAGGTCAAAAGCCAGGCCTCTTTTGCCAAACAATGAAGTTGTGAATGTGAAGAAAAACATCTTGAAGGAAATATAAAGTGCTACTTCAGTGAACACATGTATGATAAGAAAGTGAATCTGCTTTATTGCTGATATGGAGAAAGTTTTAGTGTTCTGGTTAGAAGATCAAACAAGCCACATTCCCATAAACCAAAGACTAATCCAAAGCAAGGCCCTGACACTCATTCCAATTCTATGAAGGCTGAGAGAGGTAAGTAAGCCGAAGAATAAAAGTTGGAAGCTAGCAGAAATTGGTGCATAAGGCTTAAGGAAAGAAGCTGTCTCCATAACACAGAAGTACAAGGTGAAGAAGCAAGTGCTGATGGAAACGCTGCAGCAAGTTACCTGTAAGATCTAGCTAAGGTCACTGATAAAGGTTGCTACACTAAAAATTAATACTTTCCATGTAGATGAAAAAGTCTTCTGTTGGAAGAGGATGCTGTCTAGGACTTTTAAAGCTAGAGAGGAGAAGTCAATGCCTGGCTTCAAAGCTTCAAAGTACATGCTGACTGTCTTCTTAGGGGCTAATGCAGCTGGTGACTTTAAGCTGAAATACATTCTCATTTATGATCCAGAAAATTCTAGGGCCTTTAGGAATCATGATAAATTCACTCTGCCTGTGCTCTAGAAACGGAAAGAAATGGAAAAATTCTCTAGAAATGGAAAGTAAAAAGTCTGTTTAAAGCATGATTTATTTTATATTTTAAGCCCAAATGTTGAGACCTACTGCTCAGAAAAAAAAAAATTCTTTTGAAATGTTATCGCTCATTGACAATGCACCTGGTCATTTGAAGATCTCTTATGGAGATGTGCAAGGCAATTAGAGCTGCTCACATGCATGATAACACAACCTCCATTCTGTAGCCTATGGATCAGGAAAAAATGTTTAACTTATAAGTCTTATTATTTAAGAAATATATTTGGTAAAGCTACTAGCTTCCATAGATAGTGATCCTTCTGATGGATATGGGAAAAGTAAATTGAAAACTTTCTGGAAATGATTTGCTACTCTACATGCCATTAAGAACATTCCTTGTTTTTGGGAAGAGGTCAAGATATCAACATTAACAAGAATTTGGAAAACATATATTCCAACCCTCATGGGTGACTGAGTGGTCCAAGACTTAGTATAGGAAGTATCTGCCCATGTAGTGAAAATAGCTAAAGAACTATAATTAGATGTAGAGCCTGAAGATATGAGTGATTTACTACAATCTTATGATAAAACTTGAATAGGCAAGGAGTTGCTTCCTATGCATGAGCAGATAAAGTGGTTTCTTGAAATGGAGTCAACTCCTGGTGAAGACGCTGTGAACATTGTTCAAATGACAACGAAACATACATAATATTACATAAACTTAGTTGATAAACCAGCAGCAAAATTTGAGAGGATCGACTCCAATTTTGAAAGAAGTTCTATGGGTAAAATGCTAACAAACAGCATCTCATGCTCCAAAGAAAACTTTCTCTTTTATGAAAGGAAGAGTCAATTGATACAGCAAAGTTAATTGTTGTCTTATTTTAGGAAATTGTTTACAGCCATCCTAACTTTCATCAACAGTTACCCTGATCATTCAGCAACCATCAACATCAAGGCAGGACTCTTCGCTAATGAAAAGAGTATGATGCACTGAAGATTCAAATGACCATTAGTATTTTTTAGCAATGTAGAATTTTTAACAGGTATGTACAATTTTTTAGACATAATACTATTGCAGACTTAACAGACCACAGCATAGTATAAACATACTTTTTAATGTACAAAAAACTGAGATCTTAATGTACTAGGAAACTGAGATCTACACAATTTCAAAGCCAAGATTTTTTAATGTTCTTTATGCTTTTTATGCCAAGCTACACTGAAATACGATCTATGATATTTCAAGAAATGGCATTGGACAATAACATATGTAATTACACACACACATGCACACATACACACACGCACTTTTGTTATACAACTATTCTAGTCCAATGTAATCTGTTTTAATCTTAGCTAAATTGCAAATTTCTGAATTTTCTTGATTTCATATTATTATATTATTTTAGACAGGGTCTCACTCTGTCGCCCAGTCTGGAGTGCAGTGGCACTATCACAGGTCACTGCAACCTCCACCTCCTGGGCTCAAGGGATCCTCCCACTTCAGCCTCCCGAGTAAATGGGGCCATAAGCACACCACCACTTCCATCTAAATTTTGTAGACATGGTCTTCTGCCATGTTACCCAGGCTGATCTCAAACTCCTGGACTTAAGCGATCCACCTGCCTCGGCCTCCCAAAGTGCTAGGATTACAGGCATAAGCCACTGTGCTTGGCCTATAAATTTTCATAATAAACTCTATTTGACTCTCTCTCCTTGTTATAGGCTATGTTTATATTTCCTACAGATCATATTTTCTTTTCGTTTTTGACTTTATATTCTTGAAGGTGATCAAAAGAAATTCTCAAATTATCATTCTCAATTATTTTCTTCCTTTCACCAGAACATTATACTGAACCACATTAACAATGTTATCAGTGCCTACTTCTTAAATTCTATACAATTTACTAATACTTCTGATATTATTTATATCATTGTGGAGCATATGAGACATTAATTTCTTATTGCTTTTGTAACACATTACCACAAACTTAATGGCTTAAAACAACGCAAATATATTATTTTAGATTTCTGCAGGTTAGAAGTCTGAAACATATTTCTAGATGTTGATATGTCTGTATTCCTTCTGGATGATCTGGCCTGTTCTTTTATTCTTGTTCTTTTTTTGTTTTGTTTTGTCTTTCCCAGTATCTAGAGGCAACCTCCACTCATTGGCTCACAGCACCTTCCTCCATCTTCAAAATCACAGATGCATCTCTCTTAGTCCTATATCCATCTCCACATTTCAATTCTCTGACTGTCCTCCTTCCCTATATCATTATAAGGACTTTGTGCTTAGATTGAGTCCACCAAAATGGTCCAGGACAATCTCACCATCTCAAAATCCTTAATTCAATCGTGTCTACAAAGTCCTTTTTGCCATGTAAGGCAACATATTCACTGGTCCTTTTAATTTTATTCCATTTTATAATTGTGTTCTATTGAGTAGACTAATTTATTTCTCCATTTATATATATATTCTTCTTATTTTAACTTCACTTTAACTTGTTCAACTTTTGTAGCCACCATTAAACTTTGGAGGGCATTGTAGCTTGCATAAGACAATCTGTCTATTAATGTTTAAAGTATGTTTGACATTTATTAATATATAATTTACAAGAAAAATATTAACAGTATGAATTACAGTTCTCACAGTTTGGTGGAGAGATTCTACATTAGAAAGTAATATAAATATTAAAGTACCAGAGAATATTTTATTTCATGATGTCAGAGACTGGAGGGAAGTTATCTAGCTATAACAATAATCTGACACACTTATGAAAATTGTGACATGATTTGAACTCTGATAGGCAATAAAAAGTGGGACCCGGGAAATGATATTCGATGCAAAATAAATAGCATTTTCAGCAACATGGATGAATGAGAATATGGCATATTTAGAAAAACAGAAAATAATATATTTAACAAAAATATAACGTGAACCAAAGAGTGAAGAATCTCAACTCTAGAAGTATAATAAAGAGCCAGATAACAAAGTATTATATAGTTTATATTAGGATCATGATAAAGAACTAAATTTAGAAATTGTAGATCAAGAGAAAAGGGGTTAAGAAGCTAAACTTAGCTAATTCTTGTTATTTGTTGGATGCTCTTTAGGATAATTTTATGATGGCTCTGATATTTTGGATTAGATGATGACATAACTATTTAATATGGCATAGGATATAGCAAGATGAACTGATTAGAAGGTGAAAGGGAAACCAGGAATGTAAGTATCGAGTTCAGTTTGGTCATGTTGCTTTTGAGGTACTTGATATCCAGCTGGAAATGCCCAACAGACTGTTGTAGTTCAGAGCAGGCTCTTGTGGAATAAAGGCATCACTTTTGGAATATTCACTTTTGGAAGATTTCATCACATACGATGATAGTTGATAAGTTGGTAGTTTGTTAATGGCTTATTTTTAATTGTTATCCGTTATTCACTTATTTTTACACCATATGTATGATTGATTCGGAAAATTTGAAGCATGCATGGGAAGAAGATAAAGACTGGAGGCCTAGAGAATAAAAACATTTATGATATGAACTAAGGAAGGAAGACAAACAGAGAGCCAAATCATGAGTGAACTCCCATTCACAATTGCTTCAAAGAGAATAAAATACCTAGGAATCCAACTTACAAGGGATGTGAAGGACCTCTTCAAGGAGAACTACAAACCACTGCTCAATGAAATAAAAGAGGATACAAACAAATGGAAGAATATTCCATGCTCATGGGTAGGAAGAATCAGTATCATGAAAATGGCCATATTGCCCAAGGTAATTTATAGATTCAGTGCCATCCCCATCAAGCCACCAATGACTTTCTTCACAGAATTGGAAAAAAACTATTTTAAAGTACATATGGAACCAAAAAAGAGCCCGCATTGCCAAGTCAATCCTAAGCCAAAAGAACAAAGCTGGAGGCATCATGCTACCTGACTTCAAACCATGCTACAAGGCTACAGTAACCAAAACAGCATGGTACTGGTACCAAAATAGAGATATAGACCGATGGAACAGAACAGAGCCCTCAGAAATAATGCTGCATATCTACAACCATCTGATCTTTGACAAACCTGAGAAAAACAAGAAATGGGGAAACGATTCCCTATTTAATAAATAGTGCTGGGAAAACCGGCTAGCCATATGTAGAAAGCTGAAACTTGATCCCTTCCTTACACCTTATACAAAAATCAATTCAAGATGGATTAAAGACTTACATGTTAGACCTAAAACCATAAAAACACTAGAAGAAAACTTAGGCAATACCATTCAGGATATAGGCATGGGCAAGGACTTCATGTCTAAAACACCAAAAGCAATGGCAACAAAAGCCAAAATTGACAAATGGGATCTAATTAAACTAAAGAGCTTCTGCACAGCAAAGAAACTACCATCAGAGTGAACAGGCAACCTACAAAATCGAAGAAAATTTTTGCAATTTACTCATCTGACAAAGGGCTAATATCCAGAATCTACAATGAACTCAAACAAGAAAAAAACAAACAACCCCATCAACAAGTGGGTGAAGGATATGAACAGACACTTCTCAGAAGAAGACATTTATGCAGCCAACAGACACATGAAAAAATGCTCATCATCACTGGCCATCAGAGAAATGCAAATCAAAACCACAATGAGATACCATCTCACACCAGTTAGAATGGCGATCATTAAGAAGTCAGGAAACAACAGGTGCTGGAAAGGATCTGGAGAAATAGGAACACTTTTACACTGTTGGTGGGACGGTAAACTAGTTCAACCATTGTGGAAGTCAGTGTGGCGATTCCTCAGGGGTCTAGAACTAGAAATACCATTTGATCCAGCCATCCTATTACTGGGTATATACCCAAAGGATTATAAATCATGCTGCTATAAAGGCACATGAACACGTATGTTTATTGCGGCACTATTCACAATAGCAAAGACTTGGAACCAACCCAAATGTACAACAATAATAGACTGGATTAAGAAAATGTGGCACATATACACCATGGAATACTATGCAGCCATAGAAAATGATGAGTTCATGTCCTTTGTAGGGACATGGTTGAAGCTTGAAACCATCATTCTCAGCAAACTATCGCAAGGACAAAAAACCAAACACTGCATGTTCTCACTCATAGATGGGAATTGAACAATGAGAACACATGGACACAGGAAGGGGAACATCACACATCGGGGCCTGTTGTGGGGTGGGGGGAGGGGGGATAGTATTAGGAGATATACCTAATGTTAAATGACGAGTTAATGGGTGCAGCACACCAACATGGCACATGTATATATATGTAACAAACCTGCACATTGTGCACATGTACCCTAAAACTTAAATTATAATAATAATAATAAAAGAAATAACTAAAAGCAATTGCAACAAAAGCAAAATTGACAGATGGGATCTAATTAAACTGAAGAGCTTCTGCACAGCAAAAGAAACTATCATCAGAGCAGACAGACAACCAAAGAATGGAAGAAAATTTTTGCAATCTACCCATCTGACAAAGGTCTTAAGCAAGGAGCTTCAACAAATTTACAAGAAAAAAAAGTGAATAAAGGATATGAACAGAAACTTCTCAAAAAACGACATACATGCGGCCAAGAAGGATATGAGAAAAACTCAACATCACTGATCATTAAAGAAATAAAAATCAAAACCACAACGAGATACCATCTCACACCAATCAGAATGGCAATTATTAAAAAGTTAAGAAACAACACATGCTGGCGAGGTTTCAGAGAAATCAGAACACTTTTACACTGTTGGTGGGAATGTAAATTAGTTAAGCCATTGTGGAAGACAGTGTAGTGCTTCCTCAAAGATTTAGAACCAGAAATACCATTTGACCTAGCAATCTCATTACTGTATATATACCCAAAGGAATATAAATCATTCTGTTATAAAGATACATGCACACATATGTTCACTGCAGCTCTATTCACAATCATAAAGACATGGAATCAACCCAAATGCCTGTCAATGATAGATTGGATAAAGAAAATATGGTACATATACACCACGGAATGCTATGCAGCCATAAAAAGGAAAAAGATCATGTTCTTTGCAGGGACATGGATGGAGCTGGAAGCCACCAACCTCAGCAAACTAACGCACGAACAGAAAACCAAACACCGCATGTTCTCACTTATAAGTGGGAGCTGAACAACGAGAACACATGGACACAGGGAGGAGAACAACACACACTGGTGCCTGTTGGGGAAGGCTGGTGGTGGGAAGAGGATTAGGGAGAAGAGCTAATGCATGCTGGGCTTAGTACCTTGGTGATGGACTGATAAGTGCAGCAATCCACCATGGCATATGCTTACCTATGTAAGAAACCTGCACATCCTGTACATGTAACCTGGAACACACACACACACACACACACACACACAAATTAAAAAAAATAAAATTCATAGAACTTAAGAATTAATAATAAAAGAGGATACCCAGTTTAAAGTTACCAAGTAAATGACATACACTGTCAGGATAGCCAAGCATAAAACTAGTAGTCTATGTCCACAGGTAGACAAGGTTTACTGGGCATAGAACAGAATGACTCTGAGCTAATGAGAAAAGGTTTACCAACACATCAATTAGTTTTGTGATTGTATTCAGGAGTATGACCTGGAAATTTAAGAATATGGTCAAGGAGAGGCCAACTCTTCCTACTCAAAACCCCACCCACTAAATTAAGCTAGAAGTTGTCAGAATTTGCCTAATATAAAACATAACTTTTTATTTCCAAATTTGCAGTTAGGCTTACACCACTGTTGTGCTATCTAATGCAGATTCCAGGATACCAGGTCTTTGAGCACATGGTAGTGTATCAAGAGATGAGGCAGAAATTTCTTCCACAAGAATCCATCATCCCCGTAGGGAGTCTCTTTGTAGATTGGAAGGTTTATAAAAGAAAATGAAGTTTTGTTTAATGAGATTGAATGAAATAAGATGTGTCTGTGGATCCTCAGGATGAGATAAGGATGCAGAGACCTGGTACAGAGGGCATGGGTTTTATTACATCATTCTACTTTAGGGATCCAGCTAGTTGTCCCCCGTTTCTAGCATAGTGGGATGTTTTTCACCCGCAGACCAGTGATCAGCCTCTTCTATCCAACATCATAGTGTCTGGTTCAGTTTTTGGTTTTCATACGGATTCCCTAGCAATTCCTGCTGCTTGAGAGTTGATAATTGTGAGGGATCAGAGGTGCATGAGAGAGTAACTGTGAAGAAAATGTATTAGCCTGAATGAAAGGGCATAGAAATAATTATACTTCCCAACTGTAGCTTTTTCACTAAGCCTAAACACGTTTTTAGCTCAGTTCACCAGAGTGTCATTTCTAGTAAAAGCCAAGCTAACAATATAAAAGTATCTTTTATTTCCTTTTTTTATGTTTATTTTCATCCTAGAGTATGTGGGGGCAGGTTGGTGATTCTGCCAAGACAAGATTAGAATACTCCTGTGTTCCTGAATACACTCGTCAAAATACCCTGCAGTGGCACCCCAGTTTCTCTTAAATTCTCACATATAAGAAAAATAATCACCTGCACTTAATGACTAACAAAGACATGAGATTTGAGGTGAGTAAGGAATACAGAATGACCTCAATATGTTAGAGACAAAAGGAAGGGTTAATGGCAATGTCAACTATAGATATTACAGAACAGCAATGACCTTGGGAGAGTGAGAAGAAATTTTGTGGCATAGGTTTGCTCCTCTATACAAAACTGTAAATGTTCATTTAACATTACTAACAATGTATGTCCGCTACCAGTTTCAGTGTTATCTATAATATTTTATCCTTGCTTTCAGGGGCAGAAACAAAGCTCTTCTATTTTACAATTTAATGTGTGGGATATTTTCAAGAACATTATAGATGACTTCTGTCACATCTGAGTATCAATTTAGTTCATCATCACTGTAAGAGTATTACAGTTTATGTACAGTAGACAGGTAGTAGATGAAACTGATCCTCCAAGAATGATAACAGGAGGACAGATAGAAATTGGATGTACTAAAAGGTGAAGGTTGGAACAAATTTTATTGTGTTTTTACAGGATTACAATTCAAAATAACTGGTGATCCAGCTAACTGGGTGCTCCTTTTTACAAATTATCATTAATTATTATTAATCCTCTCAATGTCAAAGGGATTGCTGTGTTGATTATATTTAAAATAAGTTTTAATAAAATTGGCCATGCATATATATCCTAAAATAAACTAAAGGATAAGCTCATTTTAAATTGTGTATTTGTTGCATTTGATTTGTTCAGTTACTGTAAGGATTACAAGTGTTAACCTTGTTAGGCTGTTATTAGCATTTAAATTAATGGTTTTCCATCAATAGAAAGCAGATAGCCTAGTTCTCGTGTTATTTGTAAAACAAACATTAAAACTAAGATATATCTGATCCAAATAGTTTTGAGCTAAATTTAAATACACATCAATGAAATATTGGCAAAAGTTGCTTCCAAATTTCTGGCACAAAATGTACTCCCATTTGTCATCTCTAAACCACAGCTTGTAAGCATTGAAGAATCCACAGGTTGAATCTAATATGCTGAAAAATTCCTTCTAGCTATTTACAGTGCCTTCCTTTATAATTAAATGATAGTTATTCCCTCTTTGATTTTCAGATCAATTTTAAACATATTTTTTAAAATTTTGGAATAATTTTGGTTTTCTAGAAAAATTACAAAGATAGTACAGAGAATCACCATACTTTCAAATCCAAATCCTCCTATAATGAACATCTAATACCGATGTCAGAAACCTGTCATAACTAATCAGCCTACATTGATGCATTATTGTTTACTTAAAGCCTACACTTTATTCAGATTTTCATAGTGTTACCTAATGTCCTTATTCTTTCCCAGGATCCAACTATATGTAGTCATCTTAAGTTTCTCTTGAGTGTGTCAGTGTCTCAGTTTTCTTATTTTTGATGACCTTCACGGTTTTCAGGAGAACTGGCTAGGTATTTTGTAGATTTGTCCATTGGGAGTTAACTGATGTTTGTCTCACGTATAGACTAGGGTTACGTGTTTTGGGGAAGAAAACCACAGAGGTAAAGTGTCATTTTCATCACAACGTATATTGAAAGTAGATATTTTCAATATAATTTATCACAATCGGTGTTGACACTGATCCACTGGCTTAGGCAATGTTTGTCAGGTTTCTTCACTGTAAAGTTGTTCTTTCCTCTGCCTTTCCATACAATATTGTTTGGAAGGAAGTAACTATACATAGCTTCCTGTTAAGGGGTAGAGTTATAATACTCCTGGAGTGTGGAGTATCTACATAAAATATTTGGAATAATTTTGCATGAAAAATTGATCTAATCTCTTCCATGTATTTATTTAATCATTTATTTATAGCAATATATATAATGGTGGTTTATTTAATAATCTGAGCATAACCTAATACTGCTTTATATATTGTGTTGCTCATATTGTTCCAGTTTAGGCCCCTGGGAGCTCTTTAATTTGGTATTTGTGTCCTTTGACACATACCCATCAATTTTTTTTGTTTGTATTTTCCATATTTGTTTGTAGTACTTCATCTTTTTTGTATTTAAAGCTTTATATAATTTTGACATTTATTTTAGATTCAACCAGTACATAGGTAGGTAAGTTGCATGGGTGTACTGCATGATGCTAAGGTTTGAGATATAAATGATCCTGTCAACCAGATAGTGAGCATAGTAGCCACAGTTTTTCAACCCTTTTCTCCCTCCCTC
This sequence comes from Homo sapiens, assembly GCF_000001405.40. Taxonomy (NCBI): domain Eukaryota; kingdom Metazoa; phylum Chordata; class Mammalia; order Primates; family Hominidae; genus Homo; species Homo sapiens. Next base: position 94,812,715 of record NC_000006.12, read on the forward strand.
TCTCCCCCACTTATAGAAGTCCTCAGTGTTTATTCTTGCTATATTTATGTCCATGAGTACCCCATGTATAACACTCACTTATAAGTGAGAACATGTGATATTTGGTTTTCTGTTCCTGGATTAATTCAATTAGGATAATGGCCTTCAGTAGCATCCATGTTGCTGCAAAGTATGTGATTTCATTCTTTTTATGGCTGTATAGTATTCCTTGGTGTATAAGTACCACATTTTTTAAATCCAGTACACCATTGATGGGCACCTAGATTGATTCTGTGTCTTTGCTATTGTGAATAGTGTTTTTAGCACTTCCTTTATTTTGGCAACTTACTTCAAGATCCTCTTGCATGTTCCCTGCCCCAATCCTAGAATCAGCTATTCTGGAAGCCATGGTTCCATTTATTGGAGGATTCTATTAGAATTTAGTAGACTCATTGCTACCAGTAGTAAACTTTTTGCTGAAATAAATGCCAGAAAATAAATTATTTCTATGTGTATCTATGTCTGTAGGTATATAAAACATCTGTTATACCTTCTCTCCTCATTGAATTATTCAATTCAAGTTAATTACAAATGCTGTCTGCCCCATAAAAAGTCACTTAGGTGGAATTTCTTTGTGTGTGAGGAAAAATGAACTATAACTTACTATGATATTGCAGTGGTAATTGAAAGGAGAGCAATAAGTGAACACTTAAGCCACTCTTGGAATGGAGAGAAGATGTCTCGAGAAAACACATTCACATTTGTATTCGTTTTCTATTGCTGTATATAAAACTAATATAAATTTAGTGGCTTAAGACATACTAATTTGTTATCTTATAGTATTTCTAGATTATAAATCCAGTCACAAATTAATGGGCTCTCTGCTCAGGATCTCACAGTAGTAACACAAATGTATTGGCCAGGTTGTGTTCTCACGTAAGGTTTGAGATTTTCTTTCTAAGCTCATGTGGTTTGACTAAATTCAATACTTATTAGTTATAGGACAGAAGTTCCATTTAATTACCAACTATCATCTTCATGCTTCTCTGAGCTTCTAGAGGCCACTCACATTCCTTACCATATAATCCCCTCCAGTTTCAAAGTTATCAAAGAAGAATCTTCCTCATGTTGAGTTTCTCTCATGCTGTATATTTCTTTTTCCAGGAAGATCCTGCCTCTTAAAGTTTCACCTAATTAGATTCTGCCCATTGAAGATAATCTCCTTCTCTTAAAGTCACCTGTGCCATATCAAAAAACCTAAGCATAGGAGTAAAATCTGTCATATTCTCAAGTCCCATGCAATAAACAGGTGGGAAGACAGGGGGCAGTAACACTGGAGACCATCTTAGAATTGTGCCTACCATAGATCTGTATTTTTATAATTTAGTAGAACATTCTAAGTTGCAGATATAAAGAGAGCAGGCACTAGGCAGAAGATAGAGGTAAGCAAGACATATGAAGTGTAAATACAAGTAATTCAGGATTGATGAGGTAGAAGACTTCCAGTCTGGCCTTTGGGAGATGACACTATATAAGTAATATGGCATGAATTAATGAGGACCTCATTCCATGCTAAGAAGACTTCAATTTTTCTGTAGTTTGTAGAGAATTTTAATCAAGGAGTAACAAGTAAAATTTCTTATAGTGATGAAACACAGAGACAACAGCACAAGTGGTAATTCCGCATATTACAAAGCTGGTGTCAGAACCGTCCAGGCAAGAGTTGACAAAGGCATCAAATAAGAAAATGATAGTAGGAGAGATGAGATATGTATATAATTACCCTCGAAAATGGGGTTAGGGTTCATAATGCCTTCAGTTGTGTAGGCCATAGCGAGATTATCCAGGAAGACTCATGATCAAATGACCCAGGAGAGGGGCTCTTTGGGTCTGTCAGGAGAATGCAGAGTTGTCAATTATGAAGCACAATATATAAGTGAAGGTTTCTGGGAAATAAGGCTAGAAATATGGCATCGATCATCCTGTAAAGTATCTTTAATGGAAACATGCTGGAAGAGTAATCATGCATTTGCATTTGAGATTATTGAAGAATTCTAATGTAATTTTTAAACAAGAAAAAAATAAGAAACCAGAATGCCAAAGACTAGAAAGTGAAAACTTTAACAATTGCACAGCGTTAATAATTGCACAGTGGCAAAATTCATTTGACTCAGGCATAGGATGACCATGATTTAAGTGTTTAGTATTCTATTAATACTTAGTAAGGGAGTAATCTTGCTCCAATTGCCCAAGAACAATAACCATGCAACAGTTTCATGTCATGATGTTTTGCACATACTCAATTCTGGTAAGAAATAATAAGAAATAGGTCATATTTTGTCTTTGAAACTGTCCACCTCCCTCCCCAGTCCATTTATACCTAACTTGGGGCCAATATGATGGCTGGGGACAGACAAAGGAGAGCTAAATAGAAAAGAAAAGCAATTGTATAGAGTCATATAATAGAGTAGAAAACACTAATCTACTTCATTTCTTCTTTTTCTGTTCCCCTGACTCTGGAGTAAGCTAGGGATTAAGCAAACAGTTGCCAAAAAGACTTCTTGCTATTTTAAATGACAGGTTTCTATTGGACAACCATCATTTCAAAACTGAAACAAATGTTGTCACTTATTACAATGGAAAATACATGCACATAAAAATGCATTTCTATTTTTCATCTGGGACTAAGATTTCTTAGAATACATAAGTATCTTTAAGTTGTATGCAGACTGCAGAGATGATTACACATCACACTGTCATTTAGAATTAGCTTTGTGTACATAGATAGGAAAAAGAAGTGGGCATAAGACAACTATCCATTTTATTTAATCAGTCTAGAAAATTTGATTTTCTTTGTTTTGACATTGTTTGGCTATCGAGATGGATCTTTTTAAATGATAGTAGTCAAATTTCTATGTCACTTTATGTTTCGATTTAGCCTGAGCCAAGGAAATGTTTTTATCCTCTTTACTTCTAAGATATTTGTTTAGGAACCTGGGTAAAGAGAGAATTGCAATTGAAGGGCACGGCAAGGTATATAGAGAACAAAGAAGATGTATGGACACTTCTAAGTTGACTTTATAATATACCATCAAATTATTTGATATTATATATCAAAATAGCTGCTAAATAAACAGCATATAAACTAATTAGTGGGGACCCATGACCAGCATAAGCACCAAAATTATATAAAATAATTCTTTTATCAACTCACAACTCCTTTAAGAGAACACTGACTTATGATTCTACTCACCTAAGGATGAGAGACAAAAGTGGGTCTCCTCTTTTGCTCTGGCATCTTCTAAATTGACTTCACCTTTGTTCTTGGTTAATAAAGTATTGTAGGTAAAAAAGTTATCTTGTTAAAATTTTAATAAATTCAGGAAATATAGTATAGATGAAGGGAACAATATAAAATTAAGCAATATTTTTATCTTCATAAAAATTATTTATACTTTGCAATTTATAAAGCTTGCTCACAAGCTTAGTTTTACTTGGTTGTAATAATGGAAATAGAATACATACAAAAACTGTTATTTTGGGGTATGAATTTTGTAAGATTTGGAAGTAAAATCTTGAGAGTCTTGCTTCCTTTCAGAGTAAATAGATATGCAATTGAGCACTTGTTTCATAATCTCTGATCATCAAGATTCCAGGACCTTCCATTAACTTCCCAGTGTAATCTGTCCCTAGCTAGCAGCCTTATGTGGTCATTTCTTTTTGTAATTCTACCAACGTGTATCACTTTCATTTTATCACCTCTCTGGTAGTCCTTATGTATTCTCTAGCATACAAGAAAGTTGTGAAGGATTCTGTTTTAAATTTTATGCCTGAAATTTTGATTTCTGTGCTTTTGGCCCCAAAACATATTCTCTATTTCATAATTCCCCTCTTACAAAATGGAAGAGTTGCCTTTTAAAATTCTTTTCTGTGCCATGGTTTTGAAATTCTTTCAAATATGTAGGAAGTAGAACGAAATAAGGATAAATTGGCCAATCTCAATCTTCCTTGACTAAATGGAAGTTTTTTCCTGGATAGCGGCAGGGCCACACATAAGAGAGGATCAGAAAAAAAAAAACAGATTAATATTTCATTATATTATCTCACTACAATGATTTTAAAGATAAGGTGAGTAAGGTTCATAGTAATTTAGAGACTTGTATATGATTATGATGATAGAAAACTGGAAAGTAGCTTGAATTGCTCTCTGTAAAATCTCATGCAAGGATTTTTTGATGTCATAATCTAATTTATCTTTCAGAGAAATACACTTAATTGGAGAAATATAAAATTTGTGCTCTCTTTTGAAGAAATAATGTTGATTAGATCAAGACTCAACAGTCTTTATAGGTGCTGACTGCCATGTCTTCAGTGCTATGGGAACATTGAGAAGGATGTAACTCACAGTCTGGACTGTTGCGGAAGTTGTTAAAGGTAACTGGTGTTTTGAGAGAAGGACAAGGGAGTTGGTTGAATAGAATTTCATAGACAATGGCACCCATATGCTAGAATTTGTAACTAATTCAATCATAGGGTACATTTAGGGTAGAAAAGTGGGAGAAGAATTGATAAAAGTTGCGGTAAATGAGGCTTGCATGTAAGTCATTAATAATCTTATATCTCATTTATTGCAAAGACAAACTATTTATGATTCCAAGAGACAAATGCATTTAATCTGTGATTGGGAAAGATAACTATTGATGGTAGAATGTTAAAATAAAACTTCTTGTCAGGAAAGGCAGTTTGGAAGTAATTGGAGTATCTCAACAAGGAGCTAATGTTTTATACTTGAAATCATTCAAAAACAAGTAGTGTTATGAAGAGAAAGAAAAAATCAAGATATATTTAGTAGAAAGAACCAACAGGGCCTAAAGACTGATAGTGTGAGATTTTGTGCATTGTGCATTAAAACATCTGATACCTGGCACACACAACCATTCAATAAATGTCCAATCACTCTTTCCTTGCAACCTGTGTTGGATTGCTTTTTACATGAATATAACTCATACCTGTCTGCCATGAAAGTTATGTCAATATAGCTTCTAAAGCAATTGGAGTATGATATGAAGATCTATCATTAAACATAATGAAAAAAAATTCAGGAATGTAAAATAGTGTTCATATGCATGTTTGACTACAGAAGCACACATTTACAAACATAGTTTTATACACTGACACCAATAAATGTGGGTGTTATATTACTCAAATGTAGACATTATATCTGTAGATTTACAAGGTCAGAAAACCATTATATCATCAAACTAGTGTGCAATTAATGTTTGCAAAACAAATGAATGTAAAGTCTTGGTACTTTTTGCAGTTTTATATTTTGCAAGTTTAAAGCAGTAGGTTTTGAGGAATAAAACTCTAATACTAGCCACCAAATAAAAATTAATCAAGATCATTTATTAGTTACCACATCCACTCTACATTTTTTGCATTTGCTTTTTCCTCTAGATGCATGAGTTTTAATGGATTAAGATGGTAAGGAGTATCAATAGGATGAAGACAATTTTAAAAAATAGAAAGTAATAAGAGGAAAAGAGAGGAACAGCACTCCATTCGGAGTTAAACATAAACCACAAACTTCCCCATCCCCTACATGCAGTGTCTATTTCTAGTGTGCTTTCAAATGCTCCCTGCCTCTCTGTAAATACTGTTATTATTCTCTCACTTGAGTTATTGTTCTCCACTCATAATATTGATGCAATTCAGAAATTCTATTTATGTCAACTTAATAAATGTATATCTCCAAATGACAGGGAAAACACCCCTCAGAAAGTTGTTTGCTGCTTTCTAGTTGGGGTACCATAACCAATTTTACTGGAAAATTTAACTACATCACTGTTAAACAATTTGCATGTTACTAAATCCTTTGCATGCTGAATATAAGAGGTCCATCAACCATGTTGCTTTAATCACCCCCCATTTCAGTAAAAACTATATTTTCTGATAAATTACCTTGAGAAATCACATGCAGATATTTAGGATGTGCACTCCAATCATAAAAAAGTTAAAAATATAAACAGAATTTAAGAATCAAAGAAATGCCAGGCGTGGTGGCTCACGCCTGTAATCCCAGCACTTTGGGAGACTAAGGTGGGCAGATCACCTGAGGTTGGGAGTTCGAGACCAGCCTGACCAATATGGAGAAACCGTCTCTCTACTAAAAATACAAAATTAGCTGGGCATGGTGGTGGGCGCCTATAATTCCAGCTACTCTGGAGGCTGAGGCAGGAGAATCGCTTGAACTCGGGGGGCAGATGTTGCAGTGAGCCAAGATCACGCCATTGCACTCTAGCCTGGTCAACAGGAGCAAAACTCCGTCTCAAAAAAAAAAAATAAAAATAATAAATAAAATAAAATAAGTCAAAGAAGTTATACCATGTTATATAACGAAAAAAATATTCCTCATGATTTTAATAAAATAATACAGAAAAGATGTTAGGATTAAGTAAAAATTTGTATTTCAAAGCAATGGTTCTCATCTGTTTGTCAAAATCATTTATAAAATATTTAAAAAAACAGATTATTGGAATCTCCTTTCCTCAACTATTTCCAGAGATTACACATAAGTGTAGGCAGAACCCCTGGTATCAGAATTTATAATTTCCTACATCACAGTTAATCACAGCCAACTTTGAACACTACTGTTTTCAAAAAGGCGTTTTTGCCACCGTGTAGACTAGAGATTAACCTTGTCTTCATACTAGAATGTTTGGAGAACTCTAAAATTACCAGTATTCAGTGGCATTCTAAATCAATTAAAATGGATACCAATACCTAGCATAATTCCAGCTCCAGTAAGGATCTCTTGGAATGGAACCCACACATTGGTATTTTTCAGGTCCTAGGGAATAACCTTATTAAACATAAGTGAAAATTCCATTTCAAAAATGTCGATATTTGAATGCTTTTTGTTGCATTATCTAAATTTAGTTTGTCTAGTAATCATCTTTGAACATAATGTTAAAGATGATTAATACAATGTATAATATGACTACTTAAAATATTTGACTTACAGATACATTGCTTTTAGTATTTGTTTTTTGACAGTTTACTTCATCTCTAACTACCCTGTCATTCATGGTCAAATTATTTCTGAAATACTAATTGCTTTTAAGACTCAATTTGTCATCTACTTTGGTTTCCTGTCACCCCTAAAAGCCTATATCAGTTTTAATAGGAAGAATTTAAAAGACATGGTTTAAAATTAATTTGAATTAACTTTAAATATAATTTCATATTTATTGTAATCTAGGAAAATGTAAATTTGAGTGACAATTTGATGTTAAGGCATTCCCTGACATATCATGTAACTTTTTTGAGAAATAGATGAGGAAAATCATAGTTTTTTTCAGCAGTGGTAAAAATATAGATTTCAGCTGAACTGGGATAACTCTAGGCTTATCTCTGTTGTTTCTGGGGACACCTGCAAGTCTCGTACTAACTTTTGAACAAGATAAGAATGAGTGAGACAATTAATGATTTATACAGTTCTATTTAAAAGTCAGAAACTCCAGTGGTGGTACTCAGGGTTGGTTTGCTTATTGATGTCTTACACTTGGTATAATTGGTTAAACAACCTGGCTTGCTTCCATAATCAGCGTGGCATAAGTGGCTCTGCAGCGAATTACTGCCTTTACTGTCCTGAAACCATGACCCTTTGAACATATATTGGTGATTCATAATGAAGAGAGGAAGTCTGTCCTAAGAAAGGACTTAGAGGAACTACACCTGAAATTCTCTTCAACTCTCATGCTTGCCTGCCCTTCTTTCATGTGTGGAACTAGAACTGTATCTTTATTTTATTAAACCTGCCTTTAAGATTATTATGTAAGATTTTAGGAGTCTTTTTAGTGATCTGACTCCATGAACTCATTGCAGGTAGCTTTCATAAATATAATTCTGTACCCATGGTCTCCTCTGTGAAGCCATTTTGATTACCAGGGAGAACTATGTTCTCTTGTGTGTCCCCATAGGACCTACCTATGCATATCTGCATTTGAGCATTTGTTACATTATCCTGTAAATGTTGCTCAGGTGCCTATTTTCCTCTCTAGATTATAAATTCCTGGGGAAAAAAAGTGAGCATGATTTAATTATCTACTTATTCCTACCCACTTTTTCAAAAATGTCATTTTAAAATTTTTGTTTATAAAACAGACCATGTAACATCAACCAAAAAAAATCAACTATACATTTTTATGCTCATAAAGGTCCAATTCTCTTTATCCTTCAAGTCCTAAGCACTTAACAAATGTCTTTATCTAAGATATTAGACACATTATTTGATTATGAATTCAATCAAAGAATGACCAAATGTATGATTTTTAGAAAAGTATATACATGGCTTCCAGTTACCTGAGAAGGAACAAAAACATTATATTTGCAGAACTTTAGGCCACTGAATTTGAAAACTAAAACAAAAAATATTGATACACAAGTCCTATTTATGTCACCTGTGATCTTAAATGTTAGGGTGATAACTGAAAGCAGGTAAGAGGGAACTGAGGCAAACTGAATAACATTGAATAAGATAAGCCAGATTCCAGATTTTTCAAATATTGCTAGAAAACTGTCATAGATAATCCAATTATATCTTTTGTTTTATTTCTTGTGCATATTAAGATTTTGTTTAAAAACTGTTTTCATATTCTAGGAATTAAAATTTCATATAGTAGAAATTAAAAAAAAATCAGTCCTGAAATATACTGCAATCAGTTAAGGCAAACAGACATTCCCAAACAACAAAAATATCAACACTCTAGAACTCTGACTTACTCCCACTAAAGAATTTTAAGAAACTGATTAATGGAATGGAATTGACACCATTTGTGGACATACATTTTGAGGAAGCTAGCACAGTTCTATATTCTCCATAGAGGCAGAAATACTCTATTGCTGATTTCTGTGGTGATTCTGGCAAGCTATTTAGTGTCTCTAGTCTTTATATCAAGTAGATGTTCAATAAAGGACCGAAATTACATGAAAAATAGTTCTATATGTTGTCAGATTTTTCAGATATGGTTTATTGCTTTCCCCTGCAGCTTTTGAGCTATAATTAACACATAATTATACATAATTGAAATATACAATTGTATGTTTGGTTCAGTGAAATCTAGATAATGAACATAGCCATATCTCCAGATACTTCCCGATGACCATTTGTGTAACTGTATGAAATAGTAAAATCACAATTATTTTCCCTAAAAATGAAATTATTGTTAAAATCCAAGTGATTATAATGGCAAGTATCTTGCTCTTCACATTAAGCCACCACTTAACTGTATTGTAGCTCACCACATTATAGTTAAACGTTACAATTCACTAAAGATTGTATTGGAATTCTTACCCCATCCATCCCAGTCTGAGTGCGTGTATGTATGTATGTGTGTGTATTGACACTGGGTAATATCACCGTTATTACAATCTTTCTTAATAGAGTGCATATTGGGCATATATACTAAGATTTTGAGTGTCTATTTCTTTACTTGCTAAACACAGCACTGAAAACTTCACCAATGTTATCAAACAGACTGCAGACTGTCTCAAGTAGCATTCTGTAATAAAACACTTCACCTACCTAGAGAACTTAGTTTCCTTCCCCCCTCTTTCCCCCCTTCTTTGCCTCCCTCTCTTTCTCCCTCTTTCTCTTTCTACCCTTCTCTCTCTCCTTCTCTCTCTCTCTCCCTCTCTCTCTCTCCTTCTCCCTCTTTCTCTTTCGACCCTTCTCTCTCTCCTTCTCTCTCTCTCTCTCCCTCTCTCTCTCTCTCCTTCTCTCTCTTTCTTCCTATCATTTATTATTCTATTTGTATCAAAAAGGAAAAGAAAACATGTCCCTTTTGGTTAGACTCTTACTCTTCAACCTTCACATTATGAAATCCTTAGCTTACATAGATTTGGCACATATATATATACACACACATACATAAGATATATGTGTGTATATATGTATTTTATGTATGTATGTATGTTGTATGTGTATATTATATATATACATACATAAGATATATATATATATCTTATGCTATCTCTAAATTTGCAGTTTCATTTCTTAAAATTCAAAAAAGTAGTTGGAGTTTCAGCAGAAAATTGTAGTACATGTGGAGTATTTGTGACACTGGGGAAGAGGAAAGCAGCATAAAAATTATGTTTCTGTTTCTCTTTAATGAAGTTCCAGGTTGATTCTGGTAATTCTGGCAAGGTATTTAGAGTCTGTAGCCTGGATATCAAGTAGATGTTCAATAAATGACTGAAATTACATGAAGAATAGTTCTATATGTTGTCAAATTTTTCAGATATGGTTTATTAGCAAGTATATAGTGTTTAATTTAATATGTAACCCACCATTTCAGATACTGACATATACTTTTTAGGTAAAATAACATTGCCACACTTTCGTAGCTGTTAATGTTATGTAAGGACATTAGTGAAAACTAAACTACTGATCAATTTTAATAAATGATGTTTAATTTGTTGTCTGGATATGGAAACTATAACTTGATGTCTACCTTATATCCCCAAATCATAATTCTAAACAGCAAAGTAAAACTTTCTACATATACTATTAAACATATATATATATATATATATATATATATATATATATAATTTTTTATTTTTTATTTTTTCCTGAGACAGAGTCTTGCTCTGTTGCCCAGGCTGGTGTGCAATGGCATGATTTCAGCTTACTGCAACCTCTGCCGCCCAGGCTCGGGCAATTCTCCTGCCTCAGCCTCCTGAGTAGCTGTGATTACAGGCACATGCCACCACGCCTGGCTAATTTTTGTATTTTTAGTAGAGACGGGGTTTCAGCATCTTGGCCAGGCTGGTCTTGAACTCCTGACCTCATGATCCACCCGTCTTGGCCTCCCAAACTTCTGGTATTACAGGCGTGAACCACCACACCCGGCCTATTTTTATGATTGCTAAACGAGTGAAAAGGGTGAAAAATATTAGCAACATGTATAGCTGATAAAAGGCTCATAAACATAAGACAAAGAATAATTAATCATAAGAAAAAGACAAAGGCATTTTCTTCTTTCAACTCTTTATGGGGGTATTCCTTCCTAATTTCATTTTCTAGAAAAGGGAACAGGCTTGAGCATTGTCTTACTGAAGGTTACACAGGAAAGTGGCAGAAAACAGATTCAAACCTAGAACCCCACTTACCTCCAAAAGAGGCAGGTTTTTGGAGAATTCAGATTAATTCTACATCATTAACAAGAGTTGTTTTTGTTGTTTCTTTTTTATGTCAGTCTTTGCTGTCTTTGCTTCTCTTGGCCTGAATTTTATCATCTGGGAAATAAATGAAGGGGAAGAATCACAACACTGATTTTTAAATGGAATTTTATTTAAACAACCCGAATTACCAATAAATCTGCAGAAAAGACTCACACCATTGTTAAAGTTCAAGAAAATTCAAATTAAAAGCAAAACTAGATGCCACTAAACAACAACCAGACCTGAGAGGAGCCAAGATGGCCGAATAGGAACAGCTCCAGTCTACAGCTCCCAGCGTGAGCGACGCAGAAGACAGGTGATTTCTGCATTTCCATCTGAGGTACCGGGTTCATCTCACTTGGGAGTGGCAGACAGTGGGCGAAGGTCAGTGGGTGCGCGCACCGTGCGCGAGCCGAAGCAGGGCGAGGCATTGCCTCACTTGGGAAGCGCAAGGGGTCAGGGAGTTCCCTTTCTGAGTGAAAGAAAGGGGTGACAGACGCACCTGGAAAATCGGGTCACTCCCACCCGAATACTGTGCTTTTCCGAACGGCTTAAAAAAACGGCGCACCACGAGATTATATCCGGCACGTGGCTCAGAGGGTCCTACCCCCACAGAGTCTCGCTGATTGCTAGCACAGCAGTCTGAGATCAAACTGCAAGGCGGCAGCGAGGCTGGGGGAGGGGCGCCCGCCATTGCCCAGGCTTGATTAGGTAAACCAAGCAGCCAAGAAGCTCCAACTGGGTGGAGTTCACCACAGCTCAAGGAGGCCTGCCTGCCTCTGTAGGCTCCACTCTGGGGGCAGGGCACAGACAAACAAAAAGACAGCAGTAACCTCTGCAGACTTAAATGTCCCTGCCTGACAGCTTTGAAGAGAGCAGTGGTTCTCCCAGCACGCAGCTGGAGATTTGAGAATGGGCAGACTGCCTCCTCAAGTGGGTCCCTGACCCCCAAGCAGCCTAACTGGGAGGCACCCCCGAGCAGGGGCACACTGACACCTCACACAGCCGGGTACTCCTCTGAGACAAAACTTCAAGAGGAATGATCAGACAGCAGCATTCGCGGATGACGAAAATCCGTGGTTCTGCAGACACCGCTGCAGATACCCAGGCAAACAGGGTCTGGAGTGGACCTCTAGCGAACTCCAACAGACCTGCAGCTGAGGGTCCTGTCTGTTAGAAGGAAAACTAACAAACAGAAAGGACATCCACAACAAAAACGCATCTGTACATCACCATCATCAAAGACCAAAAGTAGATAAAACCACAAAGATGGGGAAAAAACAGAGCAGAAAAACTGGAAACTCTAAAAAGCAGAGCGCCTCTCCTCCTCCAAAGGAATGCAGTTCCTCACCAGCAATGGAACAAAGCTAGACGGAGAATGACTTTGACGAGTTGAGACAAGAAGGCTTCAGACGATCAAACTACTCCGAGCTACCGGAGGAAACTCAAACCAAAGGCAAAGAAGTTGAAAACTTTGAAACAAATTTAGATGAATGTATAACTAGAATAACCAATACAGAGAAGTGCTTAAAGGAGCTGATGGAGCTGAAAGCCAAGACTCGAGAACTACGTGAAGAATGCAGAAGCCTCAGGAGCTGATGTGATCAACTGGAAGAAAGGGTATCAGTGATGGAAGATGAAATGAATGAAATGAAGCGAGAAGGGAAGTTTAGAGATAAAAGAATAAAAAGAAATGAGCAAAGCCTCCAAGAAATATGGGACTATGTGAAAAGACCAAATCTACGTCTGATTGGTGTACCTGAAAGTGACGGGGAGAATGGAACCAAGTTGGAAAACACTCTGCAGGATATTATCCAGGAGAACTTCCCCAATCTAGCAAGGCAGGCCAACATTCAGATTCAGGAAATACAGAGAACGCCACAAAGATACTCCTCGAGAAAAACAACTCCAAGACACATAATTGTCAGATTCACCAAAGTTGAAATGAAGGAAAAAATGTTAAGGGCAGCCAGAGAGAAAGGTCGGGTTACCCACAAAGGGAAGCCCATCAGACTAACAGCTGATCTCTTGGCAGAAACTCTACAAGCCAGAAGACAGTGGGGGCCAATATTCAACATTCTTAAAGAAAAGAATTTTCAACCCAGAATTTCATATCCAGCCAAACTAAGCTTCATAAGTGAAGAAGAAATAAAATACTTTACAGACAAGCAAATGCTGAGAGATTTTGTCACCACCAGGCCTGCCATAAAAGAGCTCCTGAAGGAAGCACTAAACATGGAAAGGAACAACCGGTATCAGCTGCTGCAAAATCATGCCAAAATGTAAAGACCATCCAGGCTAGGAAGAAACTGCACCAACTAACGAGCAAAATAACCAGCTAACATCATAATGACAGGATCAAATTCACACTTAACAATATTAACTTTAAATGTAAATGGGCTAAATGCTCCAATTAAAAGACACAGACTGGCAAATTAGATAAAGAATCAAGACCCATCAGTGTGCTGTATTCAGGAAACCCATCTCACATGCAGAGACACACATAGGCTCAAAATAAAAGGATGGAGGAAGAACTACCAAGCAACTGGAAAACAAAAAAAGGCAGGGGTTGCAATCCTAGTCTCTGATAAAACAGACTTTAAACCAACAAAGATCAAAAGAGACAAAGAAGGCCATTACATAATGGTAAAGGCATCAATTCAACAAGAAGAGCTAACTATCCTAAATATATATGTACCCAATACAGGAGCACCCAGATTCATAAAGCAAGTCCTGAGTGACCTACAAAGAGACTTGGACTCCCACACAATAATAATGGGAGACTTTAACACCCCACTGTCAACATTAGACAGATCAACGAGACAGAAAGTTAACAAGGATACCCAGGAATTGAACTCAGCTCTGCACCAAGCAGACCTAATAGACATCTACAGAACTCTCCACCCGAAATCAACAGAATATACATTCTTTTCAGCACCACACCACACCTATTCCAAAATTGACCACATACTTGGAAGTAAAGCTCTCCTCAGCAAATATAAAAGAACAGAAATTATAACAAACTGTCTCTCAGACCACAGTGCAATCAAACTAGAACTCAGGATTAAGAAACTCACTCAAAACCACTCAACTACATGGAAACTGAACAACCTGCTCCTGAATGACTACTGGGTACATAATGAAATGAAGGCAGAAATAAAGATGTTCTTTGAAACCAGCGAGAACAAAGACACAACATACCAGAATCTCTGGGACACATTCAAAGCAGTGTGTAGAGGGAAATTTATAGCACTAAATGCCCACAAGAGAAAGCAGGAAATATCTAAAATTGACACCCTAACATCACAATTAAAAGAACTAGAAAAGCAAGAGCAAACACATTCAAAAGCTAGCAGAAGGCAAGAAATAACTAAAATCAGAGCAGAACTGAAGGAAATAGAGACACAAAAAACCCTTCAAAAAATTAATGAATCCAGGAGCTGGTTTTTTGAAAGGATCAACAAAATTGATAGACCGCTAGCAAGACTAATAAAGAAAAAGAGAGAACAATCAAACAGACGCAATAAAAAATGATAAAGGGGATATCACCACCGATCCCACAAAAATACAAACTACCATCAGAGAATACTACAAACACCTCTATGCAAATAAACTAGAAAATCTAGAAGAAATGGATAAATTCCTCAACACATACACTCTCCCAAGTCTAAACCAGGAAGAAATTGAATCTCTGAATAGACCAATAACAGGAGCTGAAATTGTGGCAATAATCAATAGCTTAACAACCAAAAAGAGTCCAGGACCAGATGGATTCACAGCCGAATTCTACCAGAGGTACAAGGAGGAACTGGTACCATTCCTTCTGAAATTATTCCAATCAATAGAAAAAGAGGGAATCCTCCCTAACTCATTTTATGAGGCCAGCATCATCCTGATGCCAAAGCCAGGCAGAGACACAACCAAAAAAGAGAATTTTAGACCAATATCCTTGATGAACATTGATGCAAAAATCCTCAATAAAATACTGGCAAACTGAATCCAGCAGCACATAAAAAAGCTTATCCACCATGATCAAGTGGGCTTCATCCCTGGGATGCAAGGCTGGTTCAATATATGCAAATCAATAAATGTAATCCAGCATATAAACAGAACCAAAGACAAAAACCACATGATTATCTCAATAGATGCAGAAAAGGCCTTTGACAAAATTCAACAACCCTACATGCTAAAAACTCTCAATAAATTAGGTATTGATGGGACGTATCTCAAAATAATAGGAGCTATCTATGACAAACCCACAGCCAATATCATACTGAATGGGCAAAAGCTGGAAGCATTCCCTTTGAAAACTGGCACAAGACAGGGATGCCCTCTCTCACCACTCCTATGCAACATAGTGTTGGAAGTTCTGGCCAGGGCAATTAGGCAGCAGAAGGAAATAAAGGGTATCAATTAGGAAAAGAGGAAGTCAAATTGTCCCTGTTTGCAGATGACATGATTGTATATCTAGAAAACCCCATTGTCTCAGCCCAAAATCTCCTTAAGCTGATAAGCAACTTCAGCAAAGTCTCAGGATACAAAATCAATGTACAAAAATCACAAGCATTCTTATACACCAATAACAGACAAACAGAGAGCCAAATCATGAGTGAACTGCCATTCACAATTGCTTCAAAGAGAATAAAATACTTAGGAATCCAACTTACAAGGGACGTGAAGGACCTCTTCAAGGAGAATTACAAACCAGTGCTCAATGAAATAAAAGAGGATACAAACAAATGGAAGAACATTCCATGCTCATGGGTAGGAAGAATCAATATCGTGAAAATGGCCATACTGCCCAAGGTAATTTATAGATTCAATGCCATCCCCATCAAGCTACCAATGACTTTCTTCACAGAATTGGAAAAAACTACTTTAAAGTTCATATGGAACCAAAAAAGAGCCTGCATCGCCAAGTCAATCCTAAGCCAAAAGAACAAAGTTGGAGGCATCACACTACCTGACTTCAAACTATACTACAAGGCTACAGTCACCAAAACAGCATGGTACTGGTACCAAAACAGAGATATAGATCAATGGAACATAACAGAGCCCTCAGAAATAATGCCGCATATCTACAACTATCTGATCTTTGAGAAACCTGAGAAAAACAAGCAATGGGGAAAGGATTCCCTATTTAATAAATGGTGCTGGGAAAACTGGCTAGCCATATGTAGAAAGCTGAAACTGGATCCCTTCCTTACACCTTACACAAAAATCAATTCAAGATGGATTAAAGACTTAAACGTTAGACCTAAAACTATAAAAACCCTAGAAGAAAACCTAGGCATTACCATTCAGGACATAGGCATGGGCAAGGACTTCATGTCTAAAACACCAAAATCAATTGCAACAAAAGACAAAATTGACAAATGGGATCTAATTAAACTAAAGAGCTTCTGCACAGCAAAAGAAACTACCATCAGAGTGAACAGGCAACATACAAAATGGGAGAAAATTTTCGCAACCTACTCATCTGACAAAGGGCTAATATCCAGAATCTACAATGAACTCAAACAAATTTACAAGAAAAAAACAAACAACCCCATCAAAAAGTGGGTGAAGGACATCAACAGACACTTCTCAAAAGAAGACATTTATGCAGCCAAAAAACACATGAAAAAATGCTCATCATCACTGGCCATCAGAGAAATGCAAATCAAAACCACAATGAGATACCATCTCACACCAGTTAGAATGGCAATCATTAAAAAGTCAGGAAACAACAGGTGCTGCAGAGGTTGTGGAGAAATAGGAACACTTTTACACTGTTGGTGGGACTGTAAACTAGTTCAACCATTGTGGAAGTCAGTGTGGCGATTCCTCAGGGATCTGGAACTGGAAATACCATTTGACCCAGCCATCCCACTACTGGGTATATACCCAAAGGACTATAAATCATGCTGCTATAAAGACACATGCACACGTATGTTTATTGCGGCATTATTCACAATAGCAAAGACTTGGAACCAACCCAAATGTCCAACAATGATAGACTGGATTAAGAAAATGTGGCACATATACACCATGGAATACTATGCAGCCATAAAAAATGATGAGTTCATGTCCTTTGTAGGGACATGGATGAAATTGGAAATCATCATTCTCAGTAAACTATCGCAAGAACAAAAAACCAAACACCGCATATTCTCACTCATAGGTGGGAATTGAACAATGAGATCACATGGACACAGGAAGGGGAATATCACGCTCTGAGGACTGTTGTGGGGTGGGGGGAGGGGGAAGGGATAGCATTGGGAGATACACCTAATGCTAGATGACGAGTTAGTGGGTGCAGCGCACCAGTATGGCACATGTATACATATGTAACTAACCTGCACAATGTGCACATGTACCCTAAAACTTAAAGTATAATAAAAAAAAATTAAAAAAAAATAATAAAAATAAACAACAACCAGAATGATTAAAATAAGATGCAGACATGTTGGAAAGGACATGGAGCAACTAGAACTCTTATAGGCTATTGGCATGAGTGTAAACTGTTATAAACTGTTTATAAAAGTTGGAAACTATTTTTAACTATGAACTAAAGTTGAATATACATATTTTGTGACCAATCATATAACTACTACTAAATACATATTAAGAATGCATATGTATATATAACATAAGATACCAATAAGAATATTCATAGCAGCATTATTCATAATAACCCTACATTAGAAACAAATCAAATGGCTATTATCAGTATAATGAATAAAGTTTATACAGTGGCATAGTGTATTCTAACAATGAATAAACTAAAACTGCATACAGACATGGAATAATATAATGAACATAACATCAAACGAAAAATATAAATGAATATATAACCTGTATTTCATTTATATAAAACAAAATATAAAGCAGGACTAGTCTGTGTTAGAAGTTGAGATTATGGCCATCTTTAGAAAGACAGAAGCAAGTATTAATTTACAGAGGCAAAAATAAAGATCTAAGGTGGTGATAATTTACTATTTCTTGATATGAGTTTTGGCTATGGAGGTGAGTTTATAATAATTCACTGAACCATACAATTTGAATTTACGCATTGCTTTATATGATTGATTTACTTCAATAAAATGTTAGAAATAAAAATAATCACAAATTTATGATAACGCTCTGCAGAATAGATAAATTTAGTGAATTATTATCCATTTAATTGGGTATGAAAATGGCATTATGGTTATACAAAAATAAATGTCCTTAGTTTTAGAAATGCATGCTATTTACTAAAGCATGCAAAAGGATATTTCACCATTTGTTTTAATATATATTTATTAATACAATGAAAAATAATGAGGAAAAGATGAAATAAATTTTCTATTTATGAAAGACAATACTACTATACTATTCTAGCTGCTTTTAAATATATTTGAAAGTTATTATAAACTTTTTTAAAATTAGTGCTACATTTATCTAGCACTCAAAGAGATTAAAAATTTATTCTACCCTTGGGTTTTCTTAGCACAGATATGGTACTCCACCCATATAGTCTGCTGTTCAGGGAGTTACTTAGATAAAATCCTTGACTTCTCCCTCACCAATTCTATTCCCACCACATCCCTCATGACACCTAAAGTCTTACTGGTTCTACCTCTTTACTATCCAGGGATTTCATCTAGCTCACTTCATGCCATAACCACTGTATGAATTCAAGTCCTGATCCTCTCTAACCTGAATTGCTTCAATAACCTCTTTAACTGGTCTTACCATCTCCTGTTCTTGCCAGCTTATATCAATTCTCCACATTAGGGTAAGAGTGGTCTCTTTAAAGCACAGATTTAATCAAATTAGAATACCTTAATGACTCCCCTATACTGGGCATAGGAAAAAGTCCTGGCAAATGTTTATGTACTCAACTTACTGAAATAAATCAATATAATACATTCAAATTCTTCCTTAAAATGAAGACTCACATTGGTGCTAGTACCTATTGCACAGGACTGCAATGTGTAGTAACATTTCAAATTGGAATTGGTGTGCTCTCCTCCATATTTAGAATTTACCATGTGGATGGATGGATGGATGGATGGATGGACAGATAGGTAGCTGCTAAACTAACAAAAGCTGCTCTGGTATTGCTCTCTGGCAGCCCTTCCACACCCAAAATAAAATGAAAAAAAAATGGCCAAGGGAGAAGACTCAGAAAAGCAAGAGAAGAGTAAAGCCAATAAATTGGAGTTCTACAGGCCTTAATGTAGGATGATTCAGGGAAACTGGGGATCCCCACACTAGAATGAGTATGATTTTCACACTCAGTAATGCATGTATATGTTTCCAATCGTGGTGGGCGGGGGGTCATTTAGGCCTTTACGTAATTTTGTTGTCCTAACTGGGTCGGGTTTACTGGCTGGAATAAAGTTGCATTTAGCAGAAAATGATTTAATATAGGTAATTAATATTTGTGGAATTTTTAGATGAGCTGTAGGAGTAGGATCAAGACTGAGCTTTTAGCAACAATATTCTTAGACTCTACATGTTTGTTTCATCATGAGAGCTTCCGGTACCACCACAATAATTCATAGACAATTAGGAAGCCGTCAGCACAATCGCTGGCTATCAGGCCTCAATTTACTTTTTCAAAATGGATGTCACATTACTGTTTAACATCCCCCTTAAGAACTTCTGCTTCTATAAAAAGTGAAGCCAATCCATGACTACACTTGTCAATGGGGATAGCAGAATCAGAGTAACTGCAGCCACATCATGCTGTTCCACATAGAACTGCAAAATCATGAAAGGATCAGACTGGAAGAATATACATCTAGATTGGAAAAGTAACTGCAAGTTATCTAGGTGACACAGATCTTATGTTATATATTTCAAAACTCTGAGGTAAAGGGGACATACTACTAGGGTGTTAGAATTGATATCATTCAAGATGATTAAAAAAAAATCCTCCTCCAGTGTCATGGAGATAGTAGTGAGGGAACTTTGTGGTTTTCAAAAAGTTATATTTAATTTTAGTTTTTTGCATGCTTCAGCCAGCATTAAGGGAAGCAAATAAAAAATATGAGAGGACCTAAATAGGTATTAGTTTCTGTAATAAGATTAATGTCATATATCATACTGTGCATGGATGAATTATATAATGGGTAGTTCAAATGTGAAAGGATATGTATAACTAATAGCATTTGATTCTGAAAAAAGTATTCCTGACAAAGAAATAATTTACTTTGTTGCTTTGTTTTCTTCACAAATTTACACTGTCACTATTTTCCCAAATCTATTTTAGAAATTTTGGAGAATGTATAGAGAAAAAAATGAGTTTACTTAGAGATGATCATGTTTACTTTTATGTCTAACATTTTGCCATATGTTTAATAAATGAATTATTATGTTATATATATATATACACACACAGTTTTTTTTTACTGTATTGGTATATTTTTTTCCTCTCTGTGCCCAAATCAATTTTTTCATTTCCTACAAATCACACAGCATTTTTCCTAAATCCTAAGAATCAAAGGCTTTCAAGATCAAAGGGACTTGCATTTTATTTTTCAGTCAACCATTGAGGTAAATGTGTTTATAAAATGTGTTCATAAAAAGCATATCTTTTAAATACATTTTATGCTTTTCTTAAAGGTGTCACTGTTTAGTCCAGCAAAGGTATCAATTACTTTATCTAGTTTACAAAAATACTTTAAAATATGGACTGCTAGGCATGGTTGGTTTATTCTTTTCTTCTATGTAATTTCATTAGTTAGATTACTATCAACATGGAAAATATCCAATATTATACAGAAACTAGATCAGCAGAGTCATATTTAACCTTTCGCTTTCAGACTTTAGATATATAATCACATAATATTAAGAAATAGCTTTTTATGAGAAGTAGTCAAATGCAGAAAGCTTACTAATACAGCATATTTGTTTTAAATTTGTGTTTATAATTTTGAGATATGCCTAAGAGAAAAAAAGACCAATATTAGACAATATTCAAGTTTAAGACATGTTCTCTATCATTATAATGATATTCACTACAAAAATTAAGACAAACTTTTATAGTAGGCAAGATGAGTCAAAGCAATATAATTTTGAAGTTCCACATGAGTAATATGTTTTTAAAAATTGGCTGAATTGAATCAGATTGCCCAAAACATGTCATTGCTTTTTCTAAACTAAAATTGTCTATTACTTTATAGGTGAAACTTCTGGTATTGTAAATCGAACTTCTTTTCTAAATGGCCATGAGGTCAATTAGCCTCATAGTGCAATGGTTCTTGTGTTGAAAGCCAATGAAGTTCATAAACAGAATGGTGATTTTGTGTTCCAGTTTGACAAAACTAGGGGAAATGTGGATTGAAGATAGATAGTTTGTTATGGGTCAGTAAAGTAGTTTTATGGTTCTCTTCATCTTTGTTTCAAGTTGGACCTAAATCCAAATAAGTAGGCAAGAATAAATAAATGAAGAATAATATAAAGAAAGAATATTTAATTACTGCATTACTTTCAGATGAATATCAATCTCTGGTGTTGATTCTGAGATATGCAAAGATCAAATAAGTGAATGTGTGTGTGTGTGTGTGTGTGTGTGTGTGTGTGTGTGTGTGATCTTAAAACAATACATTGGGTGCCCTAGTATCAACTAGTCCTACCTTCTTGACTAAAGTACCTGAAATAAACTTACATTCATTTCTGGGCTTCCCTTGTGGCAGCAGAACTGTTGACTCTCCTTTTGTTTTTGTATAAATTCATTCCACAAAATGACTCAGCTGTGTTCAAGCTTGACTTTCTCCAGATATATTTATATGTTTCTGTTCTTAAGTTTCCTAATCTGTTTCTCAATATGGAAAATCTAGTGTGGGTTTTTTAAGCATTATGTTTTCAGTTTTTAATTATAAAATTCATGCTTCATATAAAATTGTCAAACAATATAAATCAATATAAGAGTCCCCTCACTCCTTTTTGATTATTCCTTCTTTCAGAGGTAATGACTATTAACAGTTTGGTATGCATCTATCTACACTAAATTTGTTTTTCTCCTGGAAATATACGAACCTACATCATGAGATATTATATGTGTAAGTTTTACTTATTGTGTGGCTAGGGAAAAAAATGCTTTTGAGTAATCAATGTGTGGCTAAATAAACTATAAAAGTGACTTTTCTTAGGAATTCTGGAGGAAGGGCTCATAGAAATATATTAGATACCATAAATAGGGCAAGACCCACAGCTTCAGGCTGTGGATAAAGTTCCTATGTTTGTAGCCTTCAGAAAGTGTTTTCCAGTAGAAAGTCAAATAAGCCAAGAGGAGTCACGTAAGTGTCAGTATGAAGTAGAAAATAAGACAATACTGACTTATAAAAAATTCAAAATTTCCACTTACCACTTGGATTAAACTCCTAAGTAAGCTGTTATCTCTTTTACCTCATGAAAAGGGACATTCTATCCAGGGAAGATTCAAAAGAGATGCACAGATTTCACATACATACACTCACATCCATCCATACATGCATTAATAAAATTGAAACTTCTGTTCTCATATCTGGGTGGCTCATGCCACAGGAAGCACCAAAATCTAATAAAAATGCCTCCTGACCAAATCATTTTTAACAGATGGTAATAGAGTCTCCTTGTTCCCTGTGTTATTGTGTCATGTTCCAATGTCACTCTTTTACTCCTGGCTTACCAAACTAAACAATAAAAAACAACTTACACAATTAAAAGAATTAAACCAACAAAAGAAACTGTAACCACAAGACATTATTGTTACCATACATTTTCAGGACACTCGTCACTGAATATCCCTTTCTATTAAAGGGTAGGTCAGTGAGCATATAAATTCCATCAGAAACAGTACACTACTGCCTGGGCATTAGTTCAGTATTCAGATGGTGGTTATATCCATTAAAATTTAGGAACAGCAGATGACATACTGTCTGGAAGAAATAAAGCATCCAAAATTATTATTGAATAGTTTTAAAACAAATATCTCATTAGGATTCTTGAGATAAATGAGATATACTTAAAAACGTTCTCAATACAGAATGTCTAAAATCCTGGACAAAATACTCTTAAAACCTGCTTTTAAAACATAAGGCTGATTAGCAAGAAAAACAATACAGAATTTTTTTAAAGCATGATCCTAAGTTTTAAGACAGTTATAACTAACTTAATTATGTCCTATATTCTTTTTCAAATCCAAAGTAAAGTATTCCAAAGACTCTCGGCACATCCCCCATCTCCTGGAATCTCATCACTGGAAACCTTTATATCCTGTTTTGACTCAATTTCCTACCTCTCTGCAACTCCTGAAATAAAATAATTCCACCGTACTTTTGGAAACACAGGGTCAATCTACATCCTTCATAATCCCAACGTTGATCACTCCTTTACCTTCATACACTGAAGAAAACCCACACTGTGCTGAGGGTACTGACTTCTTACAACCTTCTTTTATTTTATTTTATTTTATTTTTATTATTATACTTTAAGTTTTAGGGTACATGTGCACAATGTGCAGGTTTGTTACATATGTATACATGTGCTATGTTGGTGTGTTGCACCCATTAACTCATCATTTAGCATTAGGTATATCTCTTAAGTGATGGATAATTTTCACTTTCTTATCTCTGTTCCACCAGCCTGAACATTAGGTACTTCCCTCCTTTCTCCTCATTACAATCCTTTCAGACTAGTGATGCTCTCTCCTCCCTAAAATTCATGCCTCCGCACTATCTGTCCTGATTGGCCGTCACCCACATTCTACATTTCCTGTCACGATTCATCACTACATATAGAGTCATCCCTCTGTATCTACAGAAAATTGGTTCCAGGACCTCTTGTGAATACCAAAGTCCATGAATGCTCAAGTCCCTGGTATAAAATAAGATAATATTTGAACATAACCTACATACATGTTTCCATATACTTTAAATCATCCCCAGATTATTTATTATACCTAATATAATGTAAATGCCATTTAATTTGTTATACTGTGTTGTTTTGGGAACAATGACAAAGAAAAATGTCTGCACATGTTCAGTACAGGTGCAATTATGTCTTTCAAAATATTTTTGATATATAGTTGGTTGAGTCATGGATGCAGGACACACGGATTTGAGAGGATCAACTGTTCTCCCTTGGTTAAGCTGCCAATTATATTATTTTCCTTATTCCATATGCCCTTGGCAATAATTCTTTTGTTTCGTTTTTGAGATGGAATCTCGCTCGCTCTGTCACCAAGGCTGCAGTGTAATGGCACGATCTTGGCTCACTGCAACCTCCACCTCCCAGGTTCAAGCGATTCTCCTGTCTCAGCCTCCCGAGTGGCTGGGGTTAAAGGCGCCTGCCACCACACCTGGCTAATTTTTGTATTTTTATTAGAGGCGAGGTTTCACCATGTTGGCCAGGCTGGTCTCAAACTCCAGACCTCAGGTGATCCACCTGCCTCAGCCTCCCAAAGTGCTGGGGTTAGAGGCATTAGCCACCATGCCTGGCCCCCTTGGGAATATTCTAACCCTAGCTTATTCAACCTAACTACTCTCAGACTAAAACCATGCATCTTGAGGAAAAAAAAAAAAAGACATTTTTCTACTCACATTAATTTCATCGCTATTAATCACCATTTCTATATTCTATTCTTCCTTCTACTGTTTTACACAATTATTTTATATTTCTTTCTCAAACCTCTAAACCTTCTCCCCATCATCACTCTTGATTTTCCTTCCTCTTTTATTTAGAAAACTAAAGCAATATATCAGGCACCCAGTACCTCACCCACCATCCACCCTACATGCTACCCTTATAATCTGCCTATCTTGTTACTATGGATGAATTATTTGGCTATTCTTCTGCTCTCACCTAAATAGTCTCTCAACTTGTATTTTTGATCCTTTCTTATCTCAACTATTCAAGGAAATTCCTCCGGAAGTCATCTCTTCTCCTTTTTTCCCTATTTTATTTCTCTCTACTGAATAGATGATACATCATTTACTTCTCCATTAAGTCATTTTCAATATCTTCAATTGAAAATATGATTCAAAGCCTTGCATATATATTGTTACATCTTTTGCTGGGTATCTATATTTTGTTACTGTGTTATATATATTCTTCATGAAATTGTATTATCCATATCTATAATGTCAGTATTTTGAAATATAATTTTTATATATTGACTTTTTTTCTATATCAGTAAACTTCAATACTTCTCATAATTTTTAGATTACATTATGCATGTAAACCACATTATCTGCATAGTATGACCTATTTATTTCCAATTTATTTTAAATATTTATAATTTTATTCATTATTTCCTCTTCTAATTTCAGTGGCTGAGAATTTAAGAAAATAATGAGTAAAAGAGGTGTCAGACATGCTTACCTTGTTCTTGATATGAAAGAAATGTTTTAAATATTTTTATTCATATTTTGCTAAAAGACATTTGAAAATCTTGACATGGCATTGAATTTTGTCAAAAGTATTTTGAATATATTGCAATTATCATAAACCTTTTTTCTCCTTTTTCTGTCAATATTATGAATTACATTAGATGATGTTCTAATTTTCAATTGTTACTGCTATGCAGAAATAGGTCTAAATTTTTCACAGTATGACACTGTTATGTTTTTACACATTGCTATTTTTAATTTGCTAAATTTTTGTTTCAAAACATTTGTATCTATTACATTTGTATCTGTTACAAATATAAGATATTTGTATAGATATAAAACATTTGTATAGATACAAAACATTTGTATCTATTACAAATTTCAAACATTTGTATCTATTACTGTAAGAATGACTTGTGATGCAGTTTCTTCCATCCTTGTCTGGATTTTGGTGTCATGATCCTATAAGCTTACTATAGGATTGCAGTTATTGATTGCAGTTACCCCTTTCTAAAAATATTATCTGGACACATGCAAAGTATCTTGAGATTATTTTTTATTTTATTGTACATTTGATAAAATTAATCAGTAAAAGAATATAATTCATGTAATTGTTTTTTCATCTATTAGTGCTTTCAAATTTTATTTACATTGTATTATTTTAGGACATTATCCATTTACTAACATAAAAACCTAATCCAAATCAAATTTTTTCTTATTTCTGATATTCTACTTGTATTTTTTCTAATCGCATGTCTTTACTATGTTTGTTTTTGTTTTTTGGGAACAGGTTTACTGAGATATCATTTATATTCCATATATTTCATTCATTTAAATTGTACAACTCCATGTTTTTTAATGTATTTGCAAAGTTGTACAAGCATTACCAGAACCAATAACTGCACATTTATTTATCCATTCATTAGCTGACAGACATTTGAGTTGTTTTCAGATTTTGGCTATTATGAATATTTGATTTCTATGACTTTTCATGTACATGTTTTTGTGTGAATATATTTTCACTTCACCTAGACACTTATAATAAAATATTATGGAAACTCTTTTAAAAATTAAGTTCAATTAAATTGTCATTACCTATATTCATTTTTTTTTTTTTTGGTGGGGCACCTTATTAGCAAATTAAATTGGAGATAAATACTAATATCATTAGAATTAGAACAGAAAAAAACAGAATCAAAACTGGTTTGCAAATAATATAATCATATGCATAGATAATCAAAATTATAAGAAATGTTAAATCATTTAATACACTTATAACCTGTAAGAGTAAATAAAAATCAAATGTATTTATGTACCCAAACACAAACCAAACTATGTAAATGATACAAATATAATTCACATGCAAAAAAAGCAAGTCCTAAAAGATCATATACAGTGTGTTATTTGGGCACATATATACAAAAAAAGATAATATAATACAAAAGAAAAATAAGAAAATGTTTAACATAAATTTCAGGAGACTTTGTCTCTCCTGAATGTATTGAGGAAGAGGCATGCAGGGGTTTGTCAAAGATTCTGAATTATTCTGTGTATTAATCTGGGTGGTAAATACTGTAATATTTATGTTATTTTAATATATTAAACATATATAATCATTGTACGTTTCTAAATATATATATATATTTCACCACTTAATAGTATGTGGAACAACACAGAGCTAAGAATGGCGAAGAGAGTCCTAAGAAAGATTTGAACTAACAGATACCTAGACTCATTTTAGCCTTATTGAAATAAACACAATGTGGTTTTGGAGAGTAGAACAAAACAGAGTAAAGAAATAAACTGCCCTATGAATAGAAACTTGAATAACAGAGATTGTATTTGAAATTACTGAGGGAAGAGACCACTCCATAAATGACACAGGGACATGTATTATCCACAAGAAAAATAAAATGTAAATATTATAGAAAAAGTTGACAAATTGAAATTAAAATGAAATACTTTGTACATCAAAAGGCACTAAAATGAGCAAAACCATAAATCATATGTTGAGAGAAGATATTTTCACACAAATAACTAAAGAACCCATAATATATAAATAACCTTTATAGAAAAGTTAATAACATATATTAGGGAAGATATAGGTCATTGGGAGCTAATGGGAAAAAATGGTACAACAAATTCAGAAAAAAATTATCTTTATACTGTAAATTAAAAAAATTTTTAAACCATTAACCTAAAAGTCCTGTTCTATCAATATAACCTACATTTTTTTTTTTAAGAATTAGCATCTGGCATCAGATACATGTTGTTCTTAATATTCTTAGCAGCATTATTCTCAATGGGAAAAACAAAACAAAAATATAACAAAAACTTTTTGGTTTTTAAAAACATCAGAAATGTGCATTGACAGGAAAATAAAATAAATTTTAGTTGATACGGTTCGGAACTGTGGCCTCACCCAGATCTCATGTTGTCTTGTAAGTGTTGAAGTTGGGACCTAATGGGAGGTGACTGGCTCATGGTGACAAATTTCCCATAAATTGTTTACTACCATCCTCTTGGTACTGTCTAGTGAGTGAGTTCTCATGAGATCTGGTCATTTAAATGTGTGTGGTCCTGCTTTCGCCATGTAAAGTACCTTCCACTATGACTGTAAGCTTCTTGAGGCCTCCCCAGAAGCCAAGAAGATGCCAGCATCATGCTTCCTGTACAGCCTGCAGAACTGTGAGCCAATTAAACTTCTTTTCTTTATGATTTACCCAGTCTCAGGTATTTCTTTATAGCAATATGAGATTGAACTAATACAGTCGAATATTCATACAATGGAATTGTTTAACTCTAAAGCCATGAATATATCTTAGAAGTAGAATGCTTCATTGAATGAATATACAATTACATGCTTTCAACATATTCACAGGTTGCAGTGATTAGAATGTGGACATCTGACTATCACAAACTAAATTCATTATTATAAATTTTATAAAACTCAGAAACAAGCAAAAAAAGTAAAGTGTATCACTTTGGGTGAAATAACTTCTATGGTTTTTTTCTATTTTTAAAAGCAAGGAAATGATGAAGACAAAACCCAAGAGAGTATTTTCCTGCATGGGTATAAGGGAAGACTAGGGAATGGGATAGCAGAGAAGTAGTACATGGCTAGATGTAAGGTATTAGCAATGTTAAATCCTTCCACTTCTACAGTATGTTCAAGGGTTTAAAATTATCCTTTTAAGTGTACATGTTACATATATTATTTTGCTGTAATACATTTTAATTTAAGGCATCATTGAGATAATATAGTTCAATAAAAAATGAAAACATTAAGCATGGAAATTGAAATATATATACAGTATTTTGAAAGAAAATATATATTTGGTTCTAATACTGCATGTATTAGGACTTATTATAGATAATTTATAGACAAAAGGGAGGTAAATTATAATTTAATATGATTAATATTAGAAGCAATATGAGACTATGATTATAAACCTATCTGCTGTTAAAAATTACCTGAAGAAAAAATAGGGCTCATACCCTGATATTTTTAATCTAATGTTTTATTTTTATAATTTATCTCAGACATTTAGTGTCAAAAATACTTCACATAGTATAAAACAGTATATTATTCAATGTGGTTTTATTGCTTATGGGTAGACGTGTGTTCAAGCAGTATATTCGTTAGCTTGGGCTGTCATAACAAAATATCAGAAATTGGGTGGCTTGAAATAACAGAATATATTCTCAACAGTCTGAATGGTGGAAGTCCAAGATCACGGTGCCAATAAGGTCAGTTTCTAGTGAGGGCTCTCTTCCTGGCTTGTAGGTGTCTGCCTTCTTGCTGTGTCTTCACATAGCAAAAAGAGAGAGAACAATCTCTCCTGTGTCTCTTCCCTCTATAAGGGCACTAACTCCATCATGAGGGCCCTACCATTATGACTTCATCTAAAACTAAATACCTGACAAAGGCCCTTTCTTCAAATACTATCACATTGGGGCTTAAAGTTCCAACGTATGGATTTGGGCAGGGCAGTTCAGTTCATAGCACACAATTTTCATTTTTTAAAGCACCATCTGTAAATAAATTGTCTACAAAGTTCTTTATAGTATGAATACGGTGAAAGGTTTTATTCTAGAAAGTCATGATCAGGATCCCTAGAAAGAATACCTAATTATTATCTGTTATTATGAATAAAATCTAAGACCAGCTTTGTTTACTACTTGAGTTTTATTTCTCCTGGCAATGTGGTACGTATTAAAGAAATAAGCCTATTTTCAGTATAGACAAATATGCCATTTTTTAATGCTAATGTAACATTGTTTGGAGAAAGGTGAAGGAAGAAAGCATAACCAAAGAGGTGGGATAACATCTTATAGTGGAGACTAAGAACATAAAATTCATAACATTTTAATGATTATTTTTCAATAAAACTATGTTATAAAATAATCTTCTTCCAAAGATAACAGTTCTCATATGTAGATTTTAAATTTCAAGATGTACTTTCCTAATTTGAATCTTATTTCAATCTTGTGTTTTAGGAAGGATGCAAAAAATGACATCCAGCTATAAATATTTCAAATTTTAATTCTTGAAATTAATAATCAAAAACATGTCTGAATGTGAACTATTCTGCTGCAGCACTAAATTATTTAACAAGCAATAGTAAGATCAAATTACTGTTTGACCCACTTAGACAACAGAGACAAATCCAAATTTACTTACTGTGGATCAATTTAACAATCTTATTCCATGACCCATACCCTATTTTATGTACATCTGCACCCAGACAGACTCATCACCATAACCGTTTTCAAATTTGATTTGTTGTAATATTGCAAGAAAGAGATTAAATGCCTGTACTCAAAAGCTAAAAATGTTCATTTAAAATACCAGCAACTAGGGATCCTCCCTACACAATAAATTCGAGTAGTTATCAGTGCCTGTATTTATTGCTTCAGCGTGTCGTTTACTTGTCAATCTCTTAAATCCATTTGGTTGAAGATATTTAAACCCACCACACAGAAACAAAACATAAAAAGACTATTAATGAAAAATAAGCTCTAGAAGAATGTGCATATATATCAAATTATTACAAATTTGAAGCACACTGATCAAATGCAGAAAGAATTCCACTAAGTGTTAAAACAGTTGAAAAAGTTATCCCCCACCCGCAAGACCTACTTTTAAGTTCCTTTGATACAAGGTGGCACAAAGTCAAGAGAGAACTTAAAACAAGCTCCACATTAATATTTGAAAAAGGGCACCCACTGTGTTTGATGTGGCGCCCTTCATGCAAATCATGTAGTCCAAGAGAAATCCCAGTAGGAAAGATGCTGCTTTCTTCTTAGCATGCTCCCTCTTTTCTGCTGGATAATAATGAACTTCTCACACTCCCTTTGCAACCCCCCTTAAGCTATACAGAAATTAAGTTATTACTTGCTAGCTGAAGACTCTTTTGTCAGTTATCAGAATGTATTTTCTTATTGATTTTTAAGAGAAAGAAATGCACATTCAAAATTTGATAGGGGTAATTTTTTTTCGCCTTATTTTTCTAATAATGAGCAGAATAAGCTCCGAGCAAATATGGGTAGAATGAGATATATTCATTTAAATTATTTCAAAATATGATTGATGTGCATAGGAAACCATTTCTTTATACTCTGGGAACATGCAGGAGCATTGATTTAGATGGAGAGGGAAAATTATTAATGGTGAGAGCCAGTGCATAGGAAACATGCCACATAGCCCACGGGAACCCCATTTAAAGCACTCTCACATTTGGGGGGAAATGTAGAAACTAAAAATCAAACTTGGAATTACTGTTATTTTAACAACACTCATTTTGTTGTGAATTTGGGAGCTCCAAATTTCTGGTAACTATGTGTCCTCAGGAATATTTAGAAAACTGGAAGAAAAATAGCCCCAATTATTTTCTTCTTTAATAACAATATAGGAATATTTTACATCTTGCCCCTACTACACACATATCAAATTCATCTAGGGGAAGCTGTGGGTAACTTTTCTTTGGCATTCTTAAAATGGCAGTTATTTTTATTGTGGTGAAACCTAAAGTTTCAAGCTTATACTACTAAATATAATAAAGAAAAAATATAAACTATACTTCACTTACTAGTTTATCAAACATTTTTCATTTAATCCTCCCCAAAATTGGATTCAGAAATTACTCTTACTGTTCCCATTTAGCAAACAAAGACATCAATTCTTAGAAATATCATTTAAATTACCTCCATAACTATTCAAATGTGATACAACACTCTTGTCTTCTGACTGTAGATAAATTGAACTTCTTACAATAACCTAACTTCTGTATTATGAATTAAAATCAACAGAATAGAATCTGGCCTGAAATCTTCATGGGACATTAGGTAAATGACTTCCTCCATGTTTACTCTTCACATCCTCTCCAAGGTGTAAAAGCGAGCATATGTATGGCAATTCAAAGAGTCTTTGGAAGTTTTTCGGAAACGTGGCACTCTTCTGACTGAGAAACAATAAGTAAAAACTGCACACTCAGGTCCAGGTTAAATTTACTTTATGCTTGTCCACTGAAAGATATGTCCTAAGGCTGGTTGACAAAGTCTGTCTACCCTACGCCATGCTCTCCTTTCCCCTGTACCTTCATGCTTCTACTTCAGTGAATATGAAGTCTTGGATAGGAATGTGGAATTGATTACTTTATGCTTTAGATTATTAACTGTCCTGTCCTGTACTATTTGCTTAACAGTTCTATTAATGGATTTTTACACTTCTATGTTACTGATTTTTTAAGATATATTATTTTGACAACATAGGTTTTTCACAAGTTCATTTGAATAGCCATCTGATGTGATAGGAAAAAAGGTCTCACACCAGGAGTATTTCTTTTGTTTTTTATAATTGATTATACTGGTTGTGATCAATTCCAGAAACTACGAGAGTATAATATGGCCAAAATAATTGATTTGGCATTTCAAAATCTAAACATCCCTGGAATTTCTTATTTCTGTACAAATGCAACACTCTTAATAACATTTTAATCTGATGATGAAAATTATAATGAGAATATTCATTTCCTGTGCAGCAGGCTCATATAATTTCCTGTGGGTTCATGGACTTTGACCATGCTATTTTCCTTTTATGTCTTATTGTTCCTATTTTTAATATGTATTTTCAAAAGCTATTTTGCCTAAGCCATTGCCTTTTTTGAATACCAGCGTTAACTCCAGATTTTTAGAAAATAGGACAACTGATTCAGATTTAGAATTAAGAACCACAGATATAAAAAGTCCTACTTAATATTCTGCTCACATTCTGCAAAAAAAAACATATATATACATATAGATATATATCACAGTAAAGCTACAAAGACACATCAATAGTACTGAATTTGAATTTTGGAAAAATCTTGGACAAAGGCTTTAGTTTCCTTTTTGAATAAAATTAACATGTCTACTGACAGAGAAAAATAAACTCAATGAAGTAAATAGATAATAATGATGAAAAGGATACGCTTGTCAAAACATGGACTCTAACGATTATTTTGCACAATTACCATCACTTTGATATCCTTTAAATAATAATTTCTCATCATCTCTTCAAATAAGACCATGAATTTCAATATGATGGATCAGACAATTAGTGCATCTAAACTAAAGCCTGCATGTGGTAGGTGCCAGTGGGCTGTTTGAAGGAAAGGCTAAATAAATTGCACCTATGCACTGCTATACACAGCATGTGATACTGTTCCTGACTTAATCAGATGATATGCTCATGCCTAGCAGCATCTAATTACTATTTTAATGACCCTATCCTTCATAGCTAACATACAGTGGCCACTTAAAGATGGAGCAGATAGATATGCTTTATAACCTCATATCTGGACAGTTTGTGTATTTAAAATTTATTATACATATATATGTAAAAATTATTATGCATCTATCATTGACTTTGCTTAGAGCATGGTAGCATTTCTGAAACAAAAAGGCAAAAATTACATTTTTTGTAAAATAATGAAGATGCTGTCAGAATTCTACTGAAACAAATGATTTATTTTTCTATTTCTTAGCCCCCTGAAAGAAAGAGTATACAAATATGTTAAGGAATAAAGAACATATTGCTTAGATTTTATTTAAAGAAAATATTAGTGAAGTCTATTTAAGCACAGGATTAAAAACTAAAAGATGCTATCACTTATTCATAGGTTCTTTATATTAAATGCCTTAATGTTAATGCCTATTATTTCAGCAGATATTCTAAGAGTTAGACATGTCAAATGTCCTATTTTGTAGTGGTTAGTAGTGATATTAATAAGTAGAGCTATGAGTCTCTCAAAATTATGCTGGGTAAGATTCACTGATAATTTGTAACATAGTATAGAATTAATTTTATTTTAATCTATTTCTGTGCTTTCTGATAAATCTTTCTATAATTTTTTTATTTAATTACTGCCTACATCCAAAAAAAGTTTTGCATGCATTACTTATTAATTTTTATGAAATGTCCATGAATTCAAGGATATTATTGTTTTTCAGAGGAAGATATTTGACAAGTTCTAGAAGATGATTCAAAGTTAAATAGTGAGTCATGTATGGATAAATTGCATCACTTTATCCATTAAAGTGTTCTTCTTATGTTAATAATTAACGTAAAATGCAATGCTTGTTACTTTCTTTTATATGAAAATTTGTGTCATTATTAAATCAGGTAAACCTAAGAGTTGATCATCGAGATAGAATTATATGTTAGTGCATCTGTCTTTCTGCAACATAAATCTCTATAACATGTTACTAATAAAGTAAAAGGAATAAAACGTAATACTAAACATTTGTATACATATTGTTTAATATTACCCTCCAAAGACTACCTTTCAAAGAGTACAATTATAGACTGTTAGGGACTGGAGAGGTCTCTCCAAAAGAGTCAGTTATAAGCTGCAATTTCTGTATAGGTTAGAGTTAATAAGGGAAAACAAGAGAGTAAATGGGAGGAAAACCGTTTCAGATGGAGAGAGCTATATTTTTCTGTTGGTTGATAAAAGCATAGAAGTTCAAGAACTTAGCACTTGAAAGAATGAAACAAAAGCAAAATATAGGAGCATAAAAATCACAGTGGTTCAAGATGAGGCAGGAAGGCAGACTAAGAAAATTCCTGTAAGTGTAACAAACATTATACCTGTATTACAGTGGCAATATGAAGCCTTAAAAGAGTTTGTACAGGTAAGTCCATCTGACATTTTTAAAAGCATGTTCTAGTTGCTCTCTACAAGGTAGATTGGAGCTGAGCAAATGTGGATGCAATGAACTACTGAGACAGTGATGCAGGTAAGTGATAATGATACCTTAAACATTTTACTAGTCTGTTTGAATAAACCAACCTTTCCCAAACTTTAGTGAGCATCAGAGGACTAGTAAAAACACAAATTACACATCACAAGAACCAGAGTTTCTGGTTTAGTAAATCTGGAATGAATTCTGGGAGTTTGTGTTTCTTACCCATTCCTAGGTGATGCTACTGCTGCTGTTGCTTCAAGTATGACACTTTGAGAAACACTAGCCTCAAAAATAAAATGTACACTGCCTTCAACTCACTGCTAACTTAATAAGGTACACAAACCCTTATTAGGTTTGTCAGTTTTAGTAAATAAAAAATACAAGGCTCCCAGCTAAATTTGAATTTTAGATAAACAACAAATAAAATTTTAATGTATGTTCCACGCAATATATGGATATACTTATACTAAAAATATATTATTGTTGGTTATTACAATTCAAATTTAATTGGGAATCCTGTTTTATCTTTCAACCCTGCAGCCCTGATAGAACAGTGACGGAATGTTCCGTAAAATATACTCAGAAGTGTTCTTTATTAAGAACTGCTAGACAGCTTCCAAAATGGATGACTTTATTCTTCCCAGATCAATATGCAAGCATTCTCCTTGCTCTACAACCTCATTGATTCTTGGTATTACCAAGCCAGTATTCAAATCCTTCTTAATTTTTACCAGGCTTCTATATTTTTATCCTAAACATTTAAATATAAAATTTACAGGTAGGCATCAACTTAACATTTTTTTCATAAATCACTGACCTTTCATTTTAAATCTATAATTGCATTTAAACTTTAAATATAACATACTTGTCCTCTAGCATATAATAAATAATTGAACCCAACACTCACCTATACGTTAGAAATGAAAACTTTAAATTATATTTGAAATGTTCTGTGCATCTTTTCTATCAACCTTATCTCCTGCCTCTCCCCTACATCAAAAGATAACCTCTGTCTTATCTTCCAGGCTTATTTAATTTCTTCTATCTTTAAAAGATGAATATATATTTTATATATTATATTTTATATATTTTTTTATAAATTATATATATAATTTATTTTTAGAAACAAATCTCTATTAATACGTGTAGCTCTACATCATTCACAGTGCTCCATTACATAACCTTGTATGTACTATTGATTGCTTTTTTGATTGATTAACTGAGAGTCCTTCAGGATGCCCCATATTGTTTACTGGGATGAACAACACTATTAGAAGCATTTTTGTAGATGTCCCTTTGTGAGCACATGAAGAAGTTTCTCTAAAGTACATGTGAAGAAGTGGTATTGCTTGACAATGAGGTGTGTTACTTTAGTATTTTCAAATTGCTCTCCAAAGGGAAGTTAAAACATTTTTTGTTATTGATTTCTAGTTAGATTCTAACATAGTCAGAAAACTTACTTTGCATAATCTTAAACAAAGTTACATTTGATTAACTTTGTTTTATGACTATCAGATATTCTATTTTGGGAAGTGTTCCATGTGTACTTGAAATGAATGTACATTCTGTTCATTTAGTGTTGAGTATTCTATAAATGTATTAGATGCAGTTGGTAGGGTATTGTTCTACATTTCTGTACACTTACTGTTTGTCAATTTAAGACAAAGTCTGCAACTATACAACTAGATTTGCATCTGTGCATTGTAGATTTGTCCATCTTTCTAGTCTATCAATTTTTGCTTTATGTAATTTGTTGCTATGTTTATGAGTATATACACATTTAGTCAATATAGATTTCTTTTGATTAGTATTTGTTGCTATATATTTTTTCATTTTTTTTCTTTTACCCTGCCTACATCATTATATTCAGGGTTTTGTATGTGTGTAGATATTGTTCATGTATTTACCTTAGGAAATATAATGTACATTATTATTTTATAGTCTAGTATTATACTGTGAAAATAATTAAAGTTTTTCCTCTTCAAGGAAATATAAGTAACTTACCATAATATTTGTCACTTTTTCGTCAACCCATTCTGTTGTAGTTGTAATAGGTATAAATATACCTATCTTAAAATCCCACCAGGCAATGTTTTAATTTTTCCTTTCCTTTCAATAATCATACACATGTCAAAGAACTTATATAGGAGTATTATACCTAGCTAGAGGTTTACTATTTCTCCAATTGTCTTTTGATATAATTTATTTTATTTTAGTATAATCAAACCCATTGACATTATTCTTTAAGTTTTATAAAAATTTTGTGGGCTTCAAGAAATTCTTAAGATTGTATAGGTTTTTTTTCCTTCTAAATATTTTGCAGATTAACTTATTGCATGTTAAAATATGCTAGAAACAATATTAGATGATTCATTCTTGCCCAATTTTCCTAGAAATATTATCTCCATCATATGTTGGCATCCCATATAATGGTTTATTCATGTTCCATTCCTTTGACTCTTGATCAAAGTCTTACAACCCTATGCTAATCAAAGTCTTACAACCCTATGCTAACATTAGGCATTACACTTCCATAATGAATACTGATATATTATGGGAAGAATTCCAAACTTGACTACCTCTTCAGGATTCTTTAGGTTTTTTTGGCCCATAATCTTCATATTATTGTAGAGTCATGTTAAAAATTTATTTTAAAAATCAATAAATTTTTAGTAAAAGTTCAGCAAATTCGGAGATTAATCTTAATTGAATTGATTTTTTACATTATCATCTAATTCTATCTAAGAGCATATATATACACTATATATATACAGTATATATATGCAGTATATATATACACAATATATATACAGTATATATACACAGTATATATATATATATATACACACACACACACAGAGTAAACTGAAATTATTGAAAGTCAGAGAAAAAATATATATATACTATATTGGTATTACATTTGAAGACGATATCTTTTAACTATGCTTTTTGTTGTTTGCATGTATGCTCTCATTTTTTGGGGGGCAATTGTCTTGGATATTTATTTTAACCTTATCTTAAATAAAAATAATTCATTTTTCTTCTTGGTTCTTACATATTCCACTTTCTTTCTTTCTTATTCAATGACAGTAGCTAGGACCTCCACTGTAATGTTGACTAGAAGTACTGATAGCAGGTGTGCTCCTCTTGCTTTTGACTTTAATGGGGATTCTTCTAATGGTATAGAATTACAAGTGTATGCCATGTGTAGATAGAACGTATTAAATTGAGAGTGTTACTATCTTCCTAAAATATATTTAATTATAAATATATATGTGTGTATATGTATAATATTGTATAATATCAGATTTAGATAATTATATTATCAAGATTTTTGAAGGACCTCAGTTACCCCACTTGTTTTGATACTGATTCAGGTACAATGGTAGAAGGCATGATAATCTTGGGTCAGAGGCAAAGGACTTTATTTCTTAAGGCAGAGCTAATAGTATGAGCATTTGGATATTTCTACTGGTCCTCTTTGTTCCCAAGTCCCACTGGGTGACATGAGGGGTCCAGATGAATGATAAGGAAGCAGTGGGTTTGCATCTCAGTTCAGGAGTGCAGGGTAAGGGTAAGGTCCTGGCCCTTTTTTGTAAAACAGCAAACCTTATAGAAAGTAAAAAAATAAAAATAAGAGGGAGGAGCCAAGATGGCCCAATAGGAACAGCTCCTGTCTACAGCTCCCAGCGCGAGCAACACAGAAGACAGGTGATTTCTGCATTTCCATCTGAGGTACCGGGTTCATCTCACTAGGGAGTGCCAGACAGTGGGCGCAGGTCAGTGGGTGCACGCATCGTGCACAAGCCGAAGCAGGGCGAGGCATTGCCTCACTCGGGAAGCGCAAGGGGTCAGGGAGTTCCCTTTCCTAGTCAAAGAAAGGGGTGACAGACGGCACCTGGAAAATCGGGTCACTCCCACCCAAATACTGCGCTCTTCCAACTGGCTTAAAAAACCAGTGCACCAGGAGATTATATCCCGCACCTGGCTGGGAGGGTCCTACCCCCACGGAGTCTTGCTGATTGCTAGCACAGCAGTCTGAGATCAAACTGCAAGGCAGCAGTGAGGCTGGGGGAGGGGCGTGCACCATTGCCCAGGCTTGATTAGGTAAACAAAGCAGCCAGTAAGCTCGAACTGGGTGGAGCCCACCACAGCTCAAGGAGGCCTACCTGCCTCTGTAGGCTCCACCTCTGGGGGCAGGGCACAGACAAACAAAAAGACAGCAGTAACCTCTGCAGACTTAAATGTCCCTGTCTGACAGCTCTGAAGAGAGCAGTGGTTCTCCCAGCACTCAGCTGGAGATCTGAGAATGGGCAGACTGCCTCCTCAAGTGGGTCCCTGACCCCTGACCCCTGAGCAGCCTAACTGGGAGGCACCCCCCAGCAGGGGCAGACTGACACCTCACACACAGGTACTCCAACAGACCTGCAGCTGAGGGTCCTGTCTGTCAGAAGGAAAACTAACAAACAGAAAGGACATCCACACCAAAAACCCATCTGTACATCACCATCATCAAAGACCAAAAGTAGATAAAACCACAAAGATGGGGAAAAAACAGAGCAGAGAAACTGGAAACTCTAAAAAGCAGAGTGCCTCTCCTCCTCCAAAGGAACGCTGTTCCTCACCAGCAACGGAACAAAGCTGGATGGAGAATGACTTTGATGAGCTGA
Source organism: Homo sapiens (assembly GCF_000001405.40). Lineage (NCBI taxonomy): Eukaryota > Metazoa > Chordata > Mammalia > Primates > Hominidae > Homo > Homo sapiens. Next base: position 94,852,163 of record NC_000006.12, read on the forward strand.
GAGAAGAAAGCTCCAGATGATCAAATTACTCTGAGCTATGGGAGGAAATTCAAACCAAAGGCAAAGAACATGAAAACTTTGAAAAAACTTTAGAAGAATGTATAACTAGAATAACCAATACAGAGAAGTGCTTAAAGGAGCTGATGGAGCTGAAAACCAAGGCTCGAGAACTACGTGAAGAATGCAGAAGCCTCAGGAGCTGATGCGATCAACTGGAAGAAAGGTTATCAGTGATGGAAGATGAAATGAATGAAATGAAGTGAGAAGGGAAATTTAGAGAAAAAAGAATAAAAAGAAATGAGCAAAGCCTCCAAGAAATATGGGACTATGTGAAAAGACCAAATCTACGTCTGATTGGTGTACCTGAAAGTGACAGGGAGAATGGAACCAAGTTGGAAAACACTCTGCAGGATATTATCCAGGAGAATTTCCCCAATCTAGCAAGGCAGGCCAACATTCAGATTCAGGAAATACAGAGAACACCACAAAGATACTCCTCGAGAAGAACAACTACAAGACACATAATTGTCAGATTCACCAAAGTTGAAATGAAGGAAAAAATGTTAAGGGCAGCCAGAGAGAAAGGCCGGGTTACCCACAAAGGGAAGTCAATCAGACTAACAGCGGATCTCTTGGCAGAAACTCTGCAAGCCAGAAGAGAGTGGGGGCCAACATTCAACATTCTTAAAGAAAAGAATTTTCAACCCAGAATTTCATATCCAGCCAAACTAAGCTTTATAAGTGAAGGAGAAATAAAATACTTTACAGACAAGCAAATGCTGAGAGATTTTGTCATCACCAGGCCTGCCCTAAAAGAGCTCCTGTAGGAAGTGCTAAACATGGAAAGGAACAACCAGTACCACCCACTGCAAAATCATGCCAAAATGTAAAGACCATCGAGACTAGGAAGAAACTGCATCAACTAACAAGCAAAATAACCAGCTAACATCATAATGACAGGATCAAATTCACACAAAACAATATTCACATTAAATGTAAATGGGCTAAATGCTTCAATTAAAAGACACAGACTGGCAAATTGGATAAAGAGTCAAGACCCATCAGTGTGCTGTATTCAGGAAATCCATCTCACAGGCAGACACACATAAGCTCAAAACAAAAGGATGGAGGAAGACCTACCAAGCAAACGGAAAACAAAAAAAGACAGGGGTTGCAATCCTAGTCCCCGATAAAACAGACTTTAAACCAACAAAGATCAAAAGAGACAAAGAAGGCCATTACTTAATGGTAAAGGGATCAAGGCAACAAGAAGAGCTAACTGTCCTAAATATATATGCACCCAATACAGGAGCACCCAGATTCATAAAGCAAGTCCTAAGTGACCTACAAAGAGACTTAGACTCCCACACAATAATAATGGGAGACTTTAACACCCCACTGTCAACATTAGACAGATCAACGAGACAGAAAGTCAACAAGGATCCCCAGGAATTGAACTCAGCTCTGCACCAAGCAGACCTAATAGACATCTACAGACCTCTCCACCCCAATTCAACAGAATATACATTTTTTTCAGCACCACACCACACCTATTCCAAAATTGACCACATACTTGGAAATAAAGCTCTCCTCAGCAAATGTAAAAGAACAGAAATTATAACAAACTATCTCTCAGACCACAGTGCAATCAAACTAGAACTCAGGATTAATAATCTCACTCAAAACTGCTCAACTACATTGAAACTGAACAACCTGCTCCTGAATGACTACTGGGTACATAACGAAATGAAGGCAGAAATAAAGATGTTCTTTGAAACCAATGAGAACAAAGACACAACATACCAGAATCTCTGGGACACATTCAAAGCAGTGTGTAGAGGGAAATTTATAGCACTAAATGCCCACAGGAGAAAGCAGGAAAGATCCAAAATTGACACCCTAACATCACAATTAAAAGCACTAGAAAAGCAAGAGCAAACACATTCAAAAGCTAGCAGAAGGCAAGTAAGAACTAAAATCAGAGCAGAACTGAAAGCAATAGAGACACAAAAAACCCTACAAAAAATTAATGAATCCAGGAGCTGGTTTTTGAAAGGATCAATAAAATTGATAGACCGCTAGCAAGACGAATAAGGAAGAAAAGAGAGAAGAATCAAATAGATGCAATAAAAAATGATAAAGGGGATATCACCACTGATCCCACAGAAATACAAACTACCATCAGAGAATACTACAAACACCTCTACACAAATAAACTAGAAAATCTAGAAGAAATGGATAAATTCCTGGACACATACACTCTCCCAAGACTAAACCAGGAATAAGTTGAATCTCTGAATAGACCAATAACAGTAGCTGAAATTGTGGCAATAATCAATAGCTTACCAATCAAAAAGAGTCCAGGACCAGATGGATTCACAGCCAAATTCTACCAGAGTTACAAGGAGGAACTGGTACCATTCCTTCTGAAATTATTCCAATCAATAGAAAAAGAGGGAATCCTCCCTAACTCATTTTATGAGGCCAGCATCATCCTGATACCAAAACCGGGCAGAGACACAACCAAAAAAGAGAATTTTAGACCAATATCCTTGATGAATATTGATGCAAAAATCCTCAATAAAATACTGGCAAACTGAATCCAGCAGCACATAAAAAATCTTATCCACCATGATCAAGTGGGCTTCATCCCTGGGATGCAAGGCTGGTTCAATATACGCAAATCAATAAATGTAATCCAACATATAAACAGAACCAAAGACAAAAACCACATGATTATCTCAATAGATGCAGAAAAGGCCTTTGACAAAATTCAACAACCCTACATGCTAAAAACTCTCAATAAATTAGGTATTGATGGGACGTATCTCAAAATAATAAGAGCTATCTATGACAAACCCACAGCCAATATCATACTGAATGGGCAAAAGCTGGAAGCATTCCCTTTGAAAACTGGCACAAGACAGGGATGCCCTCTCTCACCACTCCTATTCAACATAGTGTTGGAAGTTCTGGCCAGGGCAATTAGGCAGGAGAAGGAAATAAAGGGTATTCAATTAGGAAAAGAAGAAATCAAATTGTCCCTGTTTGCAGATGACATGATTGTATATCTAGAAAACCCCATTGTCTCAGCCCAAAATCTCCTTAAGCTGATTAGCAACTTCAGCAAAGTCTCAGGATACAAAATCAATGTACAAAAATCACAAGCATTCTTATACACCAATAACACACAAACAGAGAGCCAAATCATGAGTAAACTGCCATTCACAATTGCTTCAAAGAGAATAAAATACCTAGGAATGCAATTTACAAAGGATGTGAAGGACCTCTTCAAGGAGAACTACAAACCACTGCTCAATGAAATAAAAGAGGATACAAACAAATGGAGGAACATTCCATGCTCATGGGTAGGAAGAATCAATATCGTGAAAATGGCCATACTGCCCAAGGTAATTTACAGATTCAATGCCATCCCCATCAAGCTACCAATGACTTTCTTCCCAGAATTGGAAAAAACTACTTTAAAGTTCATATGGAACCAAAAAAGAGCCCGCATCACCAAGTCAATCCTAAGCCAAAAGAACAAAGTTGGAGGCATCACACTACCTGACTTCAAACTATACTACAAGGATACAGTAACCAAAACAGCATGGTACTGGTACTAAAACAGAGATATAGATCAATGGAACAGAACAGAGCCCTCAGAAATAATGCCACATATCTACAACTATCTGATCTTTGACAAACCTGAGAAAAACAAGCAATGGGGAAAGGATTCCCTATTTAATAAATGGTGCTGGGAAAACTGGCTAGCCATATGTAGAAAGCTAAAACTGGATCCCTTCCTTACACCTTATACAAAAATCAATTCAAGATGGATTAAAGACTTAAACGTTAGACCTAAAACCATGAAAACCCTAGAAGAAAACCTAGGCATTACCATTCAGGACATAGGCATGGGCAAGGACTTCATGTCTAAAACACCAAAATCAATGGCAACCAAAGCCAAAATTGACAAATGGGATCTAATTAAACTAAAGAGCTTCTGCACAGCAAAAGAAACTACCATCAGAGTGAACAGGCAACCTACAAAATGGGAGAAAATTTTTGCAACGTACTCATCTGACAAAAGTCTAATATCCAGAATCTACAATGAACTCAAACAAATTTACAAGAAAAAAATAAACAACCCCATCAAAAAGTGGGCGAAGGACATGAACAGACACTTCTCAAAAGAAGACATTTATGCAGCCAAAAAACACATGAAAAAATGCTCACCATCACTGGCCATCAGAGAAATGCAAATCAAAACCACAATGAGATACCATCTCACACCTGTAAGAATGGCAATCATTAAAAAGTTAGGAAACAACAGGTGCTGCAGAGGTTGTGGAGAAATAGGAACACTTTTACACTGTTGGTGGGACTGTAAACTAGTTCAACCATTGTGGAAGTCAGTGTGGCGATTCCTCAGGGATCTAGAACTAGAAATACCATTTGACCCAGCCATCCCATTACTGGGTATATACCCAAAGGACTATAAATCATGCTGCTATAAAGACACATGCACACGTATGTTTATTGCGGCATTATTCACAATAGCAAAGACTTGGAACCAACCCAAATGTCCAACAATGATAGACTGGATTAAGAAAATGTGGCACATATACACCATGGAATACTATGCAGCCATAAAAAATGATGAGTTCATGTCCTTTGTAGGGACATGGATGAAACTGGAAATCATCATTCTCAGCAAACTATCGCAAGAACAAAAAACCAAACACCGCATATTCTCACTCATAGGTGGGAATTGAACAATGAGATCACATGGACACAGGAAGGGGAACATCACACTCTGGGGACTGTTGTGGGGTGGGGGGAGGTGGGAGGGATAGCATTGGGAGATATACCTAATGCTAGATGACGAGTTAGTGGGTGCAGCGCACCGGCATGGCATATGTATACATATGTAACAAACCTGCACATTGTGCACATGTACCCTAAAACTTAAAGTATAATAATAATAAAAAAAGAATAAAATTTATTTTTGTTTAACAAAAAAAATAAAATAAAATAAACAAAAAAATGAAAATAAAAATAAAAAAAGAGCTAGATATTCTGCCCCATGGAGTGTGCAGTTACACAGTAGTGATGCTGTAGTTGTCTTGAACTTATTTGCCTGTGTGAGCAGCTAGAGAAATTCCTCACTGTAGGGGAAGTAGAAAAGCCTTGTTATTATGGTACACTCAACATGTAGGTATACTCAGGAACCATGACAAAGTATGTCTCTTACGATATATAAATTGAACTCTATATACTAATACATAATACTGGATTTTACTACTGTGTTTAGCAGTGTTGCAAAAATCTTGAACAAGTTAATCTATGAGATTGGATTCGAATTTATCTTTTTAATATTTTTTTCAAGATGTAGGTATTAAAATTAAATGAGCTGATTAACCTCATAAAGTGAATTGGCTTGTATTTTCCCTAATTTGATTTCTTGAATTTGCATAAAATTGGAATATATTCTCTTTGGAAAAATTTGGTTGCAGTAATTCATTAGTTATTTCTTTAGGAATGATATTCAACCTGCCAATAGAAAGTCTACATAAGTATTTTCCCTTTTTTCTTTCTGTCAATGTATTACATTCTAATATAGATCAATTATAAATAATGTTTGTTGACAAATTTTATCCTGCTCTTTGTTTAGCAATATTATTCTGAAAGGATAATATATATTCACAAGTATGAAAGAAGTATGAATTTATAATATAGCAAATATTTTACAAGTTTATTATATTTGATAGACTGTCTGCCCCAACCAATGTTTGCATTTATCATCTATCTAATTTACAGAATTATTTGATAAGAGCTTTCTTTCAGTTGGTTCAGATAAAAAAGCTTAATAATCGGGTTATATGAAACTGCATTCACTAGAAAATATGAGAATATTTTAGCTTTGAGGTTTCATTATTCCACAAAGACCAGTGATGTTATCATAAGTTAGCTGTATGAAAGAACTGTTCCTAAGTTTTCAGAACTTCATTGATATATGCTCTAGCTATACAACTCTTGATCATCTTGTGGATTTCTGCACTAGCTTAACTTGGAATATCTAAAAATAAAATTTAAAAAGAAAAACAGAATTTATGAACTCATTCATTTTATTGTTCTGGGGCTTGACAAAACCATTTCACAATATTTCAATGGAATGAATAATGACCTATAATATTCAAGCCACTTTATGTAGATATTCATAATAGTAACTGCAACCAGATATGGACAACATTAACAGAAATAAGAAAAATAATGAGGTTAGATATTAACGCAAGCTCTTTCCAAATTATAAAATCTTTTATAGTTACAACCAGTATAAGACTTACGGTAAACATTCCTGAGTCTCCCCTGATGTTTGCTGTATAAAATAAAAGCCTTAGAAAATCTATGTGTTTTTCATCTGTTTGCAGAAACACACACACAACAGTACACAGAGACAGGAGGATATTATGGGCAGTCTGAGAATTATCCCAAGTTCAAGAATTATCCCAATAATAAATAGATCCACTAGCTTATACATATGGGCACAACAAAACACACAGTAATTATATGCTACATTTTCATAGCATTCACAGGACTTTTTAAAGATTGTACTCATTAAAAGCAACCCTCCAGTTGTGTATTCAGGTGAGTTGTTAAGGCTGTGTACTAATCTCTCTTTATAACAACTTTCCCAAAAGGGTAATTTGTTTTACATCTCGGCATTGTTCTGAATACAGTGCAGAAGAAATAGCATTATGGGGAGTACCAGCTCAGCACAAGTAGGGGAAAAAGCAGAAAGAGGGGATGGCCCTCAAGTCAGGAGCAGTAAACTGACCACAAAGTCAACATTTAGTCAAGTGTCCCATGGGAGCTTTCTCAATCACGGAAAATAGTGATCTCAGCCTGATCTCGACCTATCTCAAAACACCCTCCTCGCGGCTATCACAGAGCATTAAAATACCAGACACTGCAAATTTGCTTCTCCAGAGTGTCAGAGACACAGGTGACAGATTTTGAGGGCTGCTTAAGCTATTGTAAGGCATTTACTCTCACAAAATATTTGATATGAATGATAAAGTTTCATTACTCTAGCTGTACTAATATCCTAGAACTGCCATTCTCCCACAGTTTAGGAGGACAGAAGTGTGAAATCAAGGTGTCAGGAAACTGGTTCCTTCTGGAGGCTCTCAGGGAGAAACCATCCCGATGGTATCCCTACCCAATTTCTCCTAGCGTCTGGTGGTTGCTTGAAATCCTTGGTGTTCCTTGCCTCTTCCAGCTTTTGGTGTTCCCGGGCATTCCTTGGTTTGTGGTAGCATGATTCCAGTCTCTGCTACCATTTTCACATGGCCTTCCTCTACGTGAGTTTCTCTGTGTACTCTCCTCTTACTAGAACACCGGTGTATTAGTCTGTTCTCACAGTGCTATGAAGAAATACCCAAGACTGGGTAACTTATAAAGAAAAAAGGTTTAATTGACTCATAGTTTCACATGGTTGGAGAAGCCCCAGGAAACTTACTGTCACAGCAGAAGGCACCACTTCACAGGGCAGCAGGAGAGAGAATGAATGCCAAGCAAAGGGGGAAGGAAGGGCCTTGTAAAACCATCAGATCTCGTGAGAACTCATTCACTATCATGAGAATAGCTGGGGAAACTGCCCCCATGATTCAATTACCTCCACCTGGTCCCACCCTTAACACGTGGGGATTATTATTATACAATTAAAGGTGAGAGTTGGGTAGGGGCACAGCCAAACCACATCAACTAGTAATTGGATTTAGAACCACCCTAATCTAGTATCACCTCACCCTAGCTAATTACGTCGGCAAAGACTTATTTCCAAATAGTCACATTCTGGCATGCATTTTGGGACAGAAACAGTTGGATGAGTGGCCCTATTCAACCTACTACACTAGCCAAAGGTGAGTAAGCACAATTTCCTTCCCAGTGTCCGCTCTGGTATGCAGGGATCCTCTACCTGAACCCCTGGAGTGCTGTCTGTATGATCTGCTTTCAGAAAACTCAGGGATCTCTGGAGGTGTTTCTAGTTGAGAGCCAAGCACCAATCCAATCCCCAGAAACTACAGCACATACAGGTCAGACTCTTGCCATGTTCTGCTTTTTAGAGCCCTGAGGCTCCAATATTTCTCGACTTCATCCAATATTCAGACAAGGAAAAGGAAAGGGTCTCTCTTCTTGAAAAGCACCAACACTCTGTAAATGGTAAGGAAAGGAGAGAAAATGCACAGCATTCAGACAACTCCATGCAAAGAATTTCTCACTCTTGAGGTTTCTCTACTTGTTTCCCCCTCATAGGACTTTAAATTATGCTTAGAAGCAAAGTGCAGTTTTTTCAGTTCCCTCTTAATACATTTTGCACAAATGAGACCTTGGCAACTTTTCCTAGAATGTATAATAAATTGACAACCTTTGTTTCAGACCCAGGCCTCAGCCAAGTTTGAGACAACTAAAAAAGGTTCATTTAGCATCTAGGTACAGAATAATTAGTCATAATAATAAATTCTTGCTCATTTTTTATCATACCCAACTTGAGAAGCTTTAAGTTTATGAGAGTGATGTATTCCCAACCCAAGTATAAAACAACAACAACATAAATGTGTCCTAAAATGAGAGTAGACTGCATTGTAAGGAATAAGAATGTTATAATTTAAATTGATACAAATTCAATTTGTTATAAACATGTTAAGATGTTACATGTTATCCACGGTGATTTGACAAAGGTAGGAAGATCATTGTAGGCCATTTAAAAGCACAGGAATCAAAGAATTGCATGCTTCCCCAAAGACTAAGTAAAAATGGATAATTGACTAATATAGTTGTAAATAATTTTAAACGTTTTCCAATTATAAAATGCATTCAAGTTATAAAAGTTCTAAAATATATAGAAACAGAAAGTGATTGTATCAGAGAAAATCATTTTAATATATGTAGTTCCATATTCACAAACATATTTTTATAAAGTATAATGTTTTATAAAGTTACTTTTTACATGGGGTTAGTTACACTATTCATGGACTTGAAAATCTATTTTTTAATATATGTGTTTAGTTTCAATATTTTCCTGTGTTGTTAGATCTTTTTTCGTATTAATTTTTATTTATTATAGGAATTTTTTAAAAATACACAAAAAGAGAGAGATTGGTACATTAAACTCACGCGTGTCTGGTATCTAGCCTATACAATTAGTTACAACATTTGTATAGGCTTGTTTCATTTGTTGTCTTCCCAATATTTGTTGGTTATTAGTGTGGTTTTTTCTGAGTACTATAAACTAAATATTAAATATATATTATTTCATCTATAAATGCTTCAGTATGCATTTGTAATAGCAAGGACTTTTTAAAAATATTACTCCAATAACATAAGCACACAAAACCAAATTAACAATAATCTCCTAATGTTATTTGTTACTTCAACAGTGATCTCAAACATGTACTTTTATGATAGGATTGTTCAAATGAAGATCTGGAAAGGTTGACCAAGAATTTGATTGATGTTTCTTAAGTCACTTTTAGTCTTTTAGAAGTTTATACTTCTATACTTTTTTATACCATTTATTTGTAAAAAACATAAATTGGTCTTTGGGGCATAGAATTTTTCACAATCTAGATTTAGCTGATTGGATCCTTATGGTGTCATTTAGCAAGCACCTCTCCTTGCTGTATTTCCTGTAAACTAATATTTTTATCCAAATGTTTGATTAGTCAATATTTTTTATAGGCAAAACTATATCTCAGGTAATGTGTTCTTCCCACTGAATCATATGAAATGAAAACAATGTTTGACTTATCTATAGTTGCATTGCTTGCATTTGTTGCCCAGTATTTATAAGGTTGTAGCAAGTTTTCCATTCCTTTTTAAATATAATCCTTTATCATTGATATTTGGAATCTAGATCATACTTCATGGAATTCGATAATTTATAGTATAAACATTTTCTAAAAATAATTTCCTCATTAAACTATGAACAGATGACCAAACTTAAGATAGAGTCTGTAGGGCTTTCTTTCGTTTAGAAATTTATCTACTCCTAGTCACACTCAATTTAAGATACAGAAAAGTCTAGGATCCAGCTCCAATCTCTTTGAAGTAGAGTGAGTGTGGGTGGAATAACATAACTTGGGAGTGACTCAAGGTATTGACATTTATTATTGTTCATCCAAACTTTGAAACAATTGTGTGGATATACATATTACAGGGAGCTGTAATAGAGTGCTATAGACACACATCATATAAATACAATCCCTACATTTATAAATGCATGGTTATAAAAGATGTTGGAGAGTTTCCTTTCCTACATAAATATTATACTACATTCTACAATTATTGCTATTTGGAACTTTCTTCTTTAGATAGAATGATCAAGAGAAAAGGTCATTGGTATCTTTGTGATATCTGTCCCTTAGTGGCTAAGAAAACTTCATAATCTTAAGGTGCAATGTTAGAGATTATGGTGTACTAGGCCTGAACTGGAGAAAAATAACTGCTTCATGTTCTAAATGCATATTTAAGCGAATACTTTCTATGGGATGCCACTGTTTTTTTTTTTCCAGTAGATGACAAAATAGCTCAGCAAGAAGTGACATTTTTGTAAAACAAATGTAAATGACTCTGTGTTTTGGTCATGGATCCTTACTGACTTGTGTGCTTCCAAGACTAACACATTTTCTTAATCTTTCCTTGTGTTCTGCTTCTCTTAATCTCTCTGTACTCTGCTTTTCTCTGAAAAGCAGCTTTATGCTTCCTCAGTCAGTTAGGAAACATGACCTCTGACAGCTTTCAAGCAGCTTTACCATAAGAGAAAGGCTGACTGATTAAAATGTAAAATCTCACCAAAATTATAAGAAAAAAAAGGAAGGGCTGTAAAAAACAAGAACTACTTAGGCATAATTCTGGCAAAATATGTGCAAGATCTATATTCTCAAAACTACAAAACATGGATGAAGAAATTCAAAACCTTAAATCACTAGAAAAGTATACTATGTATGTAGATGTGAAGATAACAACATTGTTATGATATTGTTTCTCTTATATTGATTGATTTGAGTGAAAATCTCAGCAATAATCTTTCTAGATAATAAGCTGATTTTTAAAATACATTGAAAGACAAAGAAACCAGAATATTTTAAACCTTTCTGACAAAGAACAAAGTTGAAAAATCCACACTACCTGATTTCAATAATTAATATAAAATTACTGTAATCCCAGCAGTGTGATGTTGGTGAAAGGAGGAGCACATTAAATAAATGGAATGTAAGTTAGTTCAGAATAGACACACAGAAATGCACTCATTTGAGCTTTGCAAAAATAAACAAAGCCAATTTAATAGAAAAAAACCTTTTTCAACAAATGGTGCTTGAAAAATTGAACACTATATAAAAAATCAATCTCAAACCACACCTCATACTTTATTCACAAATACCTCAAAATGGGTTATACACTTGAATCTAAAGTGTAAATTGATAAAAATAGTAAAAGAAAACATAGAAAAAAATCTTTGTAACCCTGGATTAAACAATTTTTTCTTTAAATGCAATACTAAAAGCACAATCTATAAGATGACAAATAGGCTTTAATTAAAATTAAAAACTTCTGTAAAAGTTCCTCTGATCAGTTGAAAAGATAAGCTGCACACAGGGAGAAAATGTGTGCAAATTATATATCCCACAAAAAAACTTGTATGCAGGCTACATAAGGAACTCTCTAAACTCAACAGTAAGAAAGCAACCTAATTTAAAAACGGACAAAAGATTTAAACAGATACTTCAGCAAAGAAGATATACAGGCCGGGCGCGGTGGCTCACGCCTGTAATCCCAGCACTTTGGGAGGCCGAGGCGGGCGGATCACGAGGTCAGGAGATCGAGACCATCCCGGCTAAAACGGTGAAACCCCGTCTCTACTAAAAAATACAAAAAATTAGCCGGGCGTGGTGGCGGGCGCCTGTAGTCCCAGCTACTTGGGAGGCTGAGGCAGGAGAATGGCATGAACCTGGGAGGCGGAGCTTGCAGTGAGCCGAGATCCCGCCACTGCACTCCAGCCTGGGCGACAGAGCGAGACTCCGTCTCAAAAAAAAAAAAAAAAAAAAAAAAAAAAAAAAGAAGATATACAGATAGTAAATAAGTAGCTGAAAAGATACTCCAACTCATCAGTCATTAGGGAAATGCAAATTAAAGTCACAATGAGGTACCACTACTTCCATATTAAAATAGCTTAAACCTAACAAACTGACAATACCAAATATTGCTGTATTACCAGTTAAGTCTCAGATACACTTTTTTCTTCATTATCTAATCTGAAATCAGTCTCAATTTTCACATCCATAAAATGTGGCTGCTAATTAATGCTTGTCCTCACTTGCTTATTGTGCTGTTGTGAAAAACAAAAGCAATTATGTAGAAAACATTTTGTAAAATACAAAGTAATTTACTAACATAATGAAAAATTATTATTGTGGAATTTCAGTGAAGATTTGAGAAAAGGTTCAAAATGCAAATGCTTAAAGCAGCATAATAAATTTTTAGATTAAGTATATTGGTAACTTATTTTTAGGCAAAATTATTGAGAAAATCATAAAAAGCATCATTATGAATTAATTATTACAATGATACAAATTTATTTTTAGGCAGATTTATTGAGAAGACCATAAAAAGCATCATTATGAATTATTACAATGATACAAATTCTAGTAATTGCTTTGTGGTCATATAATTATTGGCCCAAAGTATCAAGAAAAGTTGCTAACCAAAACTAATGACACAAATATTCACGTTGAAGGCACACACTACCTCTATTGTAATATTTAAGGCAAACCGTCATATTAATGAATTATTTCAGTGTCTGCCTTCAAAATGGACTTAATTATAATGAAAATGTTTATTCTGCAAATATTTTCCTTTTTTCTTTGCATCTGTATCTGATCACTCACTATAGAGTACACTGATAATGCATTGAGCTATAATGCTCTACAAAGAAAAGATAAAAAGAAATAAAATAACTCCCAATCTAAAGAAAAAAATTAAAATGTCAACAGTCACTTGGTGACAGTTTTAAATGAATCTTTAAAAGAAGCTTATTTTGGAAAGCCTTCTGGTCACCCCCAATTACTATGGTTGCCTTGGTTGTGACAGCTGGTGTATAATCTTTGATTACACTGTCATTAAAATGTCTTTTATACCTTTTTTAATGCCATCAACACACCATTTGCTTTTCAAATCACACCCTAAAGTGGGTGGATCATGGGCATTGAGGTATCTATGAAGTTTCTAAGCCTTTTTCACACTTTTAGGAGCTCGTAAATTCAGACACAATATGGGAATCTGATGCTGCTCCAGCTCTCATACACTAAATTTATCCTAGATTTTTTTTAACTTCTACTAACACTTTTGATCTTTCTCTCCTACCCTTTATTTCAACAGAAAAAAATATTCATTTCATTAAAGTTCATCAATGTACCTTGTTGAGAATTTTAATAATGAAGTCAGGACTGAGGTGCAGTCCCCAAGCACATCAATTATAGCTTCACGGGGGTAAAACCCCACATTGTTTCATAGCCTTAGACTCCTTTTTTAACCCAGTCAATCAGCTTGAAAATTTGCACCATGAGGTAAAGGAGCATGTAGATTCATCTCTATGGAGAGAATACTTAATGAAGGATCAGAAGTTCTTTTTTAATTATTTTTTTCTCATACTGATCACGTGGTTTCAGAAATAAATTCAGATAAGCTCACTGAGCCCAATTTCTTTGAACATATGATGGGAGAAATAATTACTCTTTTTACTTTTTGGAGTAGTTTTGGTCATTAAAAAAAAATACGGTGCTTGAGGACAAGTTACAACCCAGAAAGTACTGTAATGTAATACAGATGCTCCTCAACTTATGATGGAATCATGTCAAAATAAATCCATTAAAAGTTGAACAAGTATTTAACACCCCTAAACTATCAAACATCATAGCTTAACCTAGCCTAAATTTAATATACTCCAAATACTACATTAGTCTATAGTTGAACAAAATTATCTGGCAACACAGTACACTGTAGATTACCAGTAATTTATCCTTGTGATCAAGTGGCTGACTGGGAGCTGCCCAGCATGGCAGGGGAGTATCATATGACTGTCTACTGAATGCATATCACTATCACACCACCCTAAAGTCAAAAAATTCTAAATGGAATCATCATCAGTTGGGGAACGTCTGTACATTGTTGATGGTAGTGGTACTTCTACAGGTAAATCTATCAGAACAACGATCACCATGACTGGTCATATGATCTGAGAAATATTTCTTTAGGACATTTCATCACTGTACAACATCATACATCATAGACCATATCAGCACAGATTAAATGGTATAGCCTACACCTAGGCAATATGGTGTAGCCTAATGCTCCTAGGCTACAAATCTGCGCAGCGTGTTGCCATACAGAATATTGTAGGCAGCCTGCCATGGTGGCTCACTCCTGTAATACCAGCACTTTGGGAGGCCGAAGTGGGTGGATCACCTTAGGTCAGGAGTTCGAGACCAGCCTGGCCAACATGGTGAAACACTGTCTCTACTAAAAATATAAAAACTAGCCAGACATCGCGGTGGGTGCCTGTAATCCCAGCTACACTTGGGAGGCTGAGGCAGGAGAATTGCTTGAACCTAGGAGACGGACGTTGCAGTGAGCTGATACGGTGTCACTGCACTCCAGCCTCAGTGAAAGAGTGAGACTCTGCCTCAAAAAAAAAAAAAAAGTAGGCAATTGTAACACAATGGTAAGTATTTATAAACATAAACTATCTATGCATAGGAATGATACAGTAAAAATGAAGTATAAAGATAAAAGCAAGGTATACCTGAGCCATGTTTTAGAGCACTTACCAGAAATGAAGCTTGCAGGGCTGGATGTAGCTCTGGGTAGTCAGTGAGTGAGTGGTGAGTGAATATGAAGGCTTGTGACATTAAGTACTCTACTGTAGGCTTTATTAACACTACATACTTGGGCTACACTAAAGTCATAAAAAAGTTTACTTTTTTCAATAATAAATTAATCTTAGCTTATTGTAAATAGTTTTGCTTATAAACTTTTGATTTTTTAACTCTTTAACTCTTGTAGTAACAGCTTAAAACACAAACACATTTTATAGCTGCACAAAAGCATTTTTTCTCTATATCCTTATCCTATACACTTTTACAATATTTTTAAATGTTTTATTTTTTCCTTTTTTGACGTTTTTGTTAACAACAAACATACACACACACTAGTCTAGGCCTACATAAAGTCAGAAACATCAATATCACTGTCTTCCACCACCTCATGTTCTACTGGAAGGCCTCGAGGGACAATAACAAGTATGGAGCTATCATCTTCTGTGATAATGAAATCTTCTTCTGGAATACCTCTGGAACGACCTGACTACGGCTGTTTTACAGTTAATTTTTTTTAGTGAGTACAAGAAGTGCACTCTAAAATAATGATAAAAGTATAGTATGGTAAACAAACCAGTAACATAGTTGACTATTATGATTACCATGTATTGTATATAATTAATTGTATGTATTACACCTTTATAAAACTGGCAGAACCGTAGGTTTGTTTACACCAGAATCACCACAAACATGAGAGTAATGTGTTTCAATGTGATGTCATAATGGCTATATTGTCACTAGTCAATAACATTTTTCAGCCCCATTTATCTTACAGGACCACCTTTGTATATGTGATCTGTCATTGACCAAAACACTGTTACGCAGCACATTACTCTACTTTATAGGAATCGTCAGTTTACTAGATTATCTACTCCATTTCTTAATTTAAACTCGGTGGCCTACTTTTCTGCGATTTCTAGTCTCCTTTTGAGAATGGGAAACTTTCCAATCATCAAGTGCTTATTGCTTTTAAGTTATATCCTTGTCAATATCTCTGCTATTTCACACTGTATTTTCTCCACACCTCATCATAGAGCACTCAACCAGTTCCAGTGATTTACTGCTGGTGAATTTCTAAAGCTGCATTACGAATTTCTTCATAGAGCCTTCACTGTCTGTTAAATCCACACTTATTTTCCATAAAAATCTCATTTGGAATTGGAATTTTCTCGATATTACATATAGTAAAGTCTCATGTAAAATACTGAAATTTTGTACTAGTTCTCTTTTTTACATATTAGATATTGAGAGGCCTGTCAATATGAATGCACCTTTCTCTTAAGAATATATTGGTTCTGAGATAAGTTCTCTTCCTCAACGCTATTCTGAATAATGAAAAAGCTATGAATTGTTCCTAATAAAATGATATGATTTTCTGGTAATAATTATGTTAAAAATAATCCTAGAAAAATTTGAATTCTGGAAATCTTGTCATCTACAATTAATTTAATTTTAAATTTATAAAAGATTCTGAACTAGACATTGTAATAAACATAATAAATTAAAATTGCACTTGCTTTCAAGCAGCTTGTTCTCTTACTACTAAAATAATTTAAGTATGCATATTACTACTAACCAATATCAGAGAAAAGACTAAACACTAAAGAAGACTAAATGGGACACACTGAGAGTCCTAACTGAAATTCGGGACTGGAGCAAACCACTGACATTTTCCTAGTTTCCAAGAGAAGAGTGTCCTCAATGTTGTAATATCTAAATGTTAAGAAATAAGTGTTATAGAGTGGCCAATACTTAGCTAAATTTAATACTCTTCTAAACAGCACTGTGTTATACAGTTCTCTTATTGATTGAAGCCAAGATAATTCTAACTTAAGAAATAGATTTGTGTAGGCTTGAGAGGGACTTTTAAAAAACATAAATCTTAACAGGTGGGAGTGAGATTGTTTCAAACTGAACCAAGTAGCATTTGCAAAACCAGCATTTCTCTGATGGCCAGTGATGATGAGCATTTTTTCATGTGTCTTTCGGCTGCATAAATGTCTTCTTTTGAGAAGTGTCTGTTCATATCCTTTGCTCACTTTTTGATGGGGTTGTTTGTTTTTTCTTGTAAATTTGTTTGAGTTCATTATAGATTCTGGATATTAGCCCTTTGTCAGATGAGTAGATTGCAAACATTTTCTCCCATTCTGTAGGTTGCCTGTTCACTCTGATGGTAGTTTCTTTGCTGTGCAGAAGCTCTTTAGTTTAATTAGATCCCATTTGTCAATTTTGGCTTTTGTTGCCATTGCTTTCGGTGTTTTAGACATGAAGTCTTTTCCCATGCCTATGTCCTGAATGGTATTGCCTAGGTTTTCTTCTAGGGTTTTTATGGTTTTAGGTCTAACGTTTAAGTCTTTAATCAATCTTGAATTAATTTTTGTATAAGGTGTAAGGAAGGGATCCAGTTTCAGCTTTCTATATATGGCTAGCCAGTTTTCCCAGCACCATTTATTAAATAGGGAATCCTTTCCCCATTGCTTGTTTTTGTCAGGTTTGTCAAAGATCAGATAGTTGTAGATATGCGGCATTATTTCTGAGGGCTCTGTTATGTTCCATTGATCTATATCTCTGTTTTGGTTACTGTAGCCTTGTAGTATAGTGTGAAGTCAGGTAGCGTGATGCCTCCAGCTTTGTTCTTTTGGCTTAGGATTGACTTGGCGATGCGGGCTCTTTTTTGGTTCTATATGAACTTTAAAGTAGTTTTTTCCAATTCTGTGAAGAAAGTCATCGGTGGCTTGATGGGGATGGCA